>NC_000003.12:172038907-172190422 GCF_000001405.40 Homo sapiens
ATTGTGAAATAAGGCTGGGTGAGTTGGCTCACGCCTGTAATCTCAACACTTTGGGAGGCCAAGGCGGGAGAATCACTTGAGCGACAGAGTTCCAGACCAGCCTGGGCAACCTATTGAGACCCCCTCTCTTCCAAAAAAGGAAAAAAAAAAAAAAAAAAAAAGGGTGCGGTGGCTCATGCCTGCCCCGTGCCTGCAGTCCCCAAAACAAACAACAACAACAACAAAAAACAAAAAACAAAAAGAAAGAGGAAAGAGAGATTTTAACTTAAGTATAATAAAAATTGCTCATACTATGTTAGTTGTATGAATAAAATGCTGTGGGAAATGTGGGAGTAATATAGCTCACAAGGTTGCTGTGGGGGTTAACAACAACAAAAAGCGAAATATATGTGTAAATGAAAAAAAGTCAGTTTTAGGCTTAATTATCACTGAGTAAACATTGCCTTTATATTACTTTGGCGATCTGCAGAACGCGCAGCCCTCGCCATTCAGGAGTTGTTAGTTCCCTAAGCCTCAGGTTTCTTTAGTCTGGCTGAACCAAAAGGAGTTTCTGCTTAGCTAGGCAGGGCCGGGGGACAACAGCTTCTGCGAGTCTGCGATTGTGGCGGCCGGTATATTCGGCGGTTTACGGTAATGGGCGGGCCCCAAATCCCCATGTGGTCCCGACATCATTGACATGGCGGAATCCCCCATCAAACCCTCCTGGTAGTTATTTGAGCGGCGGCGGCGGCGGCTGGAGGAGGAGAGCGGCGGCGGCGGGAGCAGCGAAGGGGGCGGCAGGGATCCTCCAGGCTGCCGGCTGGGAAGGCGTGGGCGACCCGGTGTGTGGCGCGCCCAGAGCCCCGCGTTTCAGCCCTAGGGAAGGTAAGGCGTGCAAGAGCCGGGGACTAGAGGAGACCGGGACCCCGAGCGCGATCGCCGGGTCCCGGTGCACTGGAAAGCCCCGGCCTGACGCCGAGTCCGCCAAAGTGCGTCCCTGTCCCGGGAGCGCCCTGGGCTTCCCGGCAAAAACTTGGCGCCGGAGTGCTGGGGCGCCCCGTGCTCGCCTGGGCACCCCGGGAACACGGGACCCGGGAGGGGGCGGCCCCCGCCTTGCTGGGCTGGGGTCCCCCGCCTGTGCCCCCTGCCTCAGGGTTTGGAGGAGTGAAAGAAACGGGTAGATTCCTCTTAAAAAAAATTGGGCAGTGGCTCGCGGCCTCCCCCCACCCCCAGCCTTCCCAGCAGATTTTGTCCGAGGAATCCGCTCCCCCTCCCGGAATCTCCGCGGCAGGAACGCTGCCCAGGAGGGGGAGGGCGGGCGGCGAGGCCGAGGAATCTTCGACGTGTCACTTTCTGAGGCTGTAGATTTCCATATGGTGGAGGGAAGAGGGCGGGAGTGCGAAGTGGGGCTGGAAGTTGGGGCCGCCTCTCCGCGCCGGCGGGGGCGGTCGGGGGCCTCGAACCCGGGGATGCTCGCGGGGAGGGTCCCGAGCCCGCGCCGGCCTGGCCCCCCCGTCCCCGGCTGGGCCTCTCCGGGACACTCCCCGCCCCGCTGCTGGCCACCTCCGAGCACGCCACGTCCTCCTCCCCGTCCTGCCCCCCGGGCTCCCCCCGGGCTGGGGGCGGTAACCGGCGGCCGCGGCCGGACTTGGCGAGCCGGCGGCTGGAAGCTCGGGCGGGGGAGCGGGGCGCGGCGGGAAGGAGCGGGCGACCCGGTGTGTGGGCCAGCGGAGCTCCGGTCAGTCGGTCACCCCGAGGGGCGCCTCGGCCGGGGATAGGGCGGGCGGGCGGAATCTGCGCCCCGAGGCGGCCAGGAGGGGCCGCGCGGACCGTCTGGTGCCCGCGGCTGGGCTGGGGCCGGCAGGCGTGGGAAGGGCCTGTCACTCTCGGCAGAAAGTGGGGCCTCGGGCTGTGCCCGCGAACTTTCCCAGAGGTCCGGGTCCCGGCGTCCCGTGGGAACCGGAGGACCCGGGCCCGCCGTCTCGGGAGACTGGGCTGCGCCGCCCGGCGGCGCCTTTGGCGGGGAGGCTTCCAGGAGTGCGCGGTCGGAGTTGGAGCTTTTGGAATCTCAGCTCCCACCCTGCCATCCCAGACGAAGGGAAGCAATGGCATTTTATCCAGACAGTGCCGTTTGCAGACTTCCTTAAAAGTTATAACTTTTTGTTTTCTTTTCTCCTCAACCCAGCATTTTATTTAAACAAAATTTAGAATTTGGCCGCAATGGGCCAACGCTGGGGCCAAAAATCCACAGGTTTCTCTCTCCATCCCTGCTGGTTTCTAGTCCCCCCTCCCCCTCTTCCCTCCCAGGCTTAATCATATTTTGGAACGGGTGAGGTCTTTTGTTGGGTGGGCACCCCCTGATTGCTTGTCTGTTTATTTTTTAATGTGCAACTAATTTGATTTGAATTTCCTTCAGTTTCCAGGCCTTCCTAGGGAAAGCTAAGGGAGAGGGAATATGCTTTTTAAAAATCGTTTTCTTTCTTTCTTTCTTTCTTTCTTTTTCTTTCTTTCTTTCTCCTTCTCTCTCCTTCCTTCCTTCCTTCCTTCCTTCCTTCCTTCCTTCCTTCTCTTCTCCTCCTCCTCCTTCTTGTTCTTGTTCTTCTTCTTTTTTTTTTTTTTAAATAAATGTGGCAGGAGGTGGGGCGTTGGGAATGGGGAGGCACGGTGGTTGTGGGCAAAGAGTCAGAAGGAGCAGACAGACCCGGAAGAAAAGGAATCTGCTCTGGAATAACACTTTTTTTTTGAGGCCTCAGGCCTTGGGCAAAATTGCTTCGCTCTGTAATGATTTCTGCTGCCGGAGTTGCTCCTCCACCCCTAAGTTAAAGCTATGAACCTGGGTGCCCGGGCAACGCCCCACAGTGGATAGCAGCCGGGAGCGCTGGTTTTGTGCCTTTTGTGGGGGCCCTTGGTTCCCCCTCATTGGAGGCTGACTCTGAAATTTACTGGATCAGTAAATTTCCTGGCTCCCTGGGAGCAGCTGTTAACGAGGATAAAGTCTCTGGGCATGTTTCTGGCCCTGCAAAAGGACCTCACCCATGAAGGTACAATTCTCACTTTGTTTAGATACCAGAGGGGCACCCACAGGCTGGCTGAGAATGAGGCATAGTTGATTAAAAAAAAAATCAGTCATTACAAAATTGTTTTTAAACTCACACGTGCTTTTAAAGTGTTGTGGTTTAAATTACTTTAAGATAAAAAAAATTCATCTGTAAGGATAGCGTTCATTTAAAAGATGCTAAAACTGCAGGATCTCATCATGAAATAGGAGGTTGTAGCTTCTAATTACAGTATATACAATTTCAGAAAGATATTCCGGTAATCTTTTAATACAGACTTTATAAATAGCTCACATCAGACGATGGGTTATATTGGAGAGCCAGTCTTCTGCGGTTTCTTGAAGAATGCTTGGGATCTGTGAGGAAGCTCTAGGCCCTTGGAGGCTAGGTAGCAGTTCACTCAGTAGGAGTTTGTGCTCCTTTTGCTCAGTATTTAACCTGGTAGCATTTGATGGATAAGTTCATTAGGAGCTAAGTAGAAGAACTTACCACACTTGTCAGTTTGGAAAATGAGGCCCGGGAAGGGAAAGTGACTTGTTGAGGGTCACCATTATAGACGAAAGTTTAATACAGGATTGTGTTAATAGCTCCTTTCTGGGATATCTGATGTGTACTAAGCACTAATTCCTGTGCTTTTATACATTATCTCATTAAAATTCTAGTATTTTCGATTTAGGTTGTGTTATGCACACTTTACAAACAAGGGGATTGAGATTTACAGAGAGAGAGTAACTTGCATAAGATCACGTAGCTACCAATGGTGTCATCCAATGGAATTTTCTTCAGTGTTGGAAATGGTTCTGTCTGTGCTGTCCAGCATAGCAGCCACAAGCCACATGTAACTGAGTCTTTGAAATGTAGCTAGTGGACTGAGGAACAACAGTTTAAGTTTTTTTTTTTTTTTTTGAAATGGAGTCTCGCTCTGTCGCCCAGGCTGGAGTGAGTGCAGTGGCGCAATCTCGGCTCACTGCAACCTCCGCCTTGCTGGTTGAGATGGATTCTCGCTCTGTAGCCCAGGCTGGAGTGCAGTGGCGCGGTCTCGGCTAACTGCAACCTCCGCCTCCCGGATTCAAGCGATTCTCCTGCCTTAGCCTCCCGAGTAGCTGGGATTACAGGCGCTTGCCACCACGCCCGGCTAATTTTTTGTATTTTTTAGTAGAGACGGGTTTTCACCATGTTAGCCAGGCTGGTCACGAACTCCTGACTTCAGGTGATCCACCCGCCTCGGGCTCCCAGAGTGCTGGAATTACAGGCGTGAGCCACCACACCCGGACTAAGTTTTATTTACTTGTAATTATTTTAAACTTAAATTTCCACTTGTGGCTAGTGGTTACCATATTGGAGAGCAAAGTGTAGAACTTTTTGACTCCCAAATCTTTCACATGTAGCTTGGTCATATTGCTCTTTATTTTACTTTGAGACAGACTCTCGCTCTGTTACCCCGGCTGGAGTGCAGCGGCATGATCACTGGCTCACTCACTGTAGCCTCCACCTCCCAGGCTGAAGTGATCCTCTCCCCTTAGCCTCTCCAGTAGCTGGTACTACAGGTGTGCACGCCACCATGCCAGGCTATTTATTATTATTATTGTTTTTTTGTAGAGACAGGTCTCACTAGGTTGTCCAGGCTGCATACTGCTCTTTAGATCTCTTAGTTCATTTTTCTTTCTTCTACGATATCAGAAGTTACATTCAGCCCTTAAATGGAATTTAAAGACTGAGTTAGCTATAGCTCAACTTTGCTTTCATATGTAGAGTGGATAAAATACGCACATTATTTGTTAACTCTTTGGTTTTAAAAACAATGTTTACATGTCATAGTTAAAACTGGTGGAAAAATCTTTAAATTGTATCTTTTTTGGTTTAATATAGGAATTGTGCATAGGAATTGCTGAAAAAGTAGTCAGAACTTGTTGGTTATTTTAGTGTAATAAGAGTACAAATAGGAAGCAATATGAAAAGTCACTAATAGAAAGCTGAAAAAAACGATCCTCTCATACCCGCGTCCATCCGTTCATTGGACAGTTCTTTTCAGACTTTGTAAGTATCAGTAAACCATTACTCACTTTTCCTTATGTAGCTGCAGAAGTAACCTGAAGAATTAAAATTATTCTTTTACTCTCAGTGTATAGAAATCAAATATCAAACACATTGGATTCATCCATGAATTGGGAAGAATATGTGTAAGATTAAAACAGTAAGAAAGATCTGTCCGATGGCAGATGTTCAAATCATTTTCTGATTAGTGGATTTAATTTAAATTCATTGAATTTTAGAGTTTCATTTGCTAAAAGGAATTTCAACAACTTTCTGATTTTGTATGGAATAGTGAAAATTCCAACTCTTTTTTTTTTTTTTTTTTTGGTGTGCTACCCTCAGGAAAAGGCAAATTATAATGTAATCTCTTTTTATTAGGATTTTTAAGAGGCAACTGCCAGGTTCAGTATAAATATATCTGAATCTATTGTATCTTCCATAGTTATGGTACTGTCCTGGGATAATTGCAGTTCATAGTCTTAACTCTAGACATATCCTGGAGGACCTATGTCTGTAAATTATCTTTGAATTGTTCTATGTTATTTTAGTGTTATGTGAATTACATTGCTTCCAGCTCTTTGAAAATCGTTAATTCAACTGCAGGTAAGGCGTCAGTTACTGAGACTGTTCAGATAACTGAAACATCCTGTTCATACCCATTCCTGACCATTGGGACCACTGTACTATTTTCAAGGATAAGATACCACTGTACTATTTTCAGGATAAGAACCATGTTATAAATAGAATTATAGTGTCCTAGTGAGTGTGACAAATATAGGAAACATGATTTAACCCATGACATATGGTTTGATTTGTAGGACATCCCCAAGTGCTTAATACAAATGAGAAATGTACTATAATCTTAAGGCATAAAGATGTTTAAATGATGGACAAAAATTGAGGGCCACATCTGAGCATCAGTTTGAAATCAGAATATCTCCTCTGTCAAGGAGTGACTTTACTTTCTAGCTGGGTCCTTGATAAGCTTTTGAATCTCTCTGAGTCTGGGTTTCCTCATTTTAATATAAGGAGGAAAGATCTAACTCGTACCTTTTCAAATGGTGTCACAAGGGATTAATGAGTCAGTGTATTGAGAAGTGTTTGGCAAAGCCTTATACAAACTCCATAGTTCATTATATTCCAGAGTTTAAAACTGAGCTGGTGCTATGGTATTTCTCTGCACATTTTCAGAGACCTCCAAATTGTGCTTGGACAGTTTGAAAAATGATTTATTTTTCTCTTTGTGATCAGTAAACAAGGTCCAAGCTTTAGATGTTGTATTTTATTTTACCCCACTCCTAATGGAATAGGTGATTTGTGACCTCTGCAAAGTTGTACTATACATAAGTTGTCCCATATCTGTGTTTTTGGGAAGCTGGTCTGTAGCTGGGCTAGTGTTGCTGAAGTGGGCAGGCCAGGCTTGATTCAGGGCTGTTTTTGAGGTGGCGGGAAAAAGTGCAGTCTCTTAGAGGAACGTTCAGTACTGAATGATAAAGGAATAAGGTTTTAGGCCTTGTATGTTACCTTAGCCTATTACTTGAGCTTTCAGCAATTACAGCTGAGAATGGAAAAGAATCGTATTTTCAGTGTAGGGGAGTCTTTGCAACCTACCTGCCTTTCCACTTTAGAAATCACAATTGCCTTTTCTTCTTGTTAACGAGGTTAATCCATTAAGTGGGATATTTATATGGTAAGACATTATTTTCAAGTAAATTAATTCTCACTCTTAAGGCTGTTGAGAATTCACTTAGGTGGTTGAGGAGAAGCTTTGTACTTTAGTTTACTGAGTGTCTCTCTCTCTCTCTCTCTCTCTCTCTCTATATATATATATACACTTTGCCTTAAAATATATATTATGGTTATGGCATTATGTGTTGTAAAGAGGGAGAGAATGCTTGAATTATTGTGGCTAGATAGGGGCAGGTAGACAAGCACAGGCCCAACTGGAAGGATGACTTGATGGTAGTTGAGCACTTTGCAAGGTACCTCCAGTGAGATGCCAGACCCTAGTAACAAGCTCACCTGGAGGGGAGTTTGTTTGTGGTGCAGGTTTAATGTCAAGGACCAGTTCTTGGAAACAGAAGGTATGTGGGGTGCCAGTTGAAGATCAGGGGACAGAAATGTTTTTAAAACCACCAAGTATAAATCACATAAGATCGATAGACAGTCGTGATCAGCCATCTACATACAGATGAGGATGTTTGTCAGTTTGAAAATGGATCGATTGTTGAATTTTTCTTTGTTTCTCCCCAGTTAAGATATGCAAGTTTAGCATTCTGTAAGTGTTGGATCAGAATTTCTGATGCCCTTGGCACTCACTACTCAGTGTCAGTTTAGACATTGGCTCCTAATTTTTTTTCTTTTTCTTTTTTAAGATACAGTGTTTCACTGCTGCTGGAGTGCAGTGGCTCTATCATAGCTTACTATGGCTTCGAACTCCTGGGCTCAAGTGATCCTTGAGTAGGGCTATAGCTAGGACTATAGGTTCACGCCACCATGCCTGGCTAATGTTTTTTTTTTTATTTTTATAGAGACAGGGTTTCACTTTGTGGCTCAGGCTGGTCTCTAACTTCTGGCTTGAAGCAATCCCCCCGCTTCAGCCTCCCAAAATGTTGGGATTATAGGTTATGAGCCACCTTGCCCGGCCCTGTTTTGTTTTTATAATATCATTAAAATACCTCATCAGTTTCAAATAACCATTTTGCAGGGTGGTAGGGGATTTTTCTGAGATGGTGTTGAGTCACAGTGTTATTTGAGGTTCTAGTAAGTATCAAAGTGTGTCTTGTGTTAAATGATTCTATTTGAGCTTAAAATGTAATTTCATTTCAGTTACTTGTTTATTGACTCAGAATGCATTTGTTGAGATCTAGACCAGGTTCTTTGTTAATGGAATGTTCTACTCTGTTCTGATGTTTTTGGAATCTTGTATAGAGAACAGTGTCTACCACCAAACTCCTAAGGCTGGATGGTGGTAAGTTCAACTCTTTGCTACCTTCTGAAATTTGAGAAATAGTAAAATTGGAGCACCTTCAGGCTGTGTTAGACTTTAAGGCTTCTAAATTATATTAGAATGTAAGGATACATCTTTGTTTTGACCCTGGAAAGAGTAGTAAAGATTTTCATAAAGGCCAACTAGTCATAAAAACTTACTTAAATTGACATGATCCTAACTCACAATTATGAAAAGCTTTCTGTTGAAATAATTGTGTAGAAAGTGATCTTTATACATGAACAAAGGTGGGATGTTTTAGAAATAATTGAAGATTCTAAGATCCCAGGAAATATAATGGTTTAATTTATTTTTAAGGGATTTAAGATTCCCCATAGCCTATGAAAGAGGGGTCTCTATTAAAAATAACGCCATTGTTCTAGATGTAGCTAATTAGGGATTTGCAATTATCTAGGCAAGGCTAGGATAAAGTTTGGCTGCCTATTCTGTATGAAAAGGTTTTACTGTAAATATCAAGTTTAAATAGATCTTAAGAGGAATATTTACCTAATTAAAAGAACAAACCACTTTTAAGCACCTTGGGAAAATCAATTTACTTAAAAGCAGTGTAAAAATGCAGAATGCATTCACTGATGCTGGTCTGCTGGTGGTCTTTTCATAGAGATACAGGAGCCCCTGGAAAGTCAGTGCTCTCTGTGGATTGCCATGAAATAAATATTGATTGACTCAATGCTATTATGTGAACTACAAACAGTTTACCAGCAATGGGTAGAACTATATTATTTGCTTGCAAAATACATCACAACAATAAACACAATATCTGCCTCCCCCACCCCACTCCACTCTACCAATAGACTCCAACTATGCCTATTTATTGGTTTTGGAGTTTTTCTATTGACATTTGTTTTGCTACTTGTTAACTTCTTTTGTCATGTGTAAGCATTTGATGGCAGATTGGGGACAGCAGGTGTTAAAGGTTTAAGAGCATCATTATTGCTTTTAGCTTCATTTCTTCTGCCTTTGTGTTTGGGCAAGATTGTGGAGAGTCCTGAGTTTAGTATTTAGATAAGGTAATTACATGTCCTTCTCCTCTACTTTTACTAAAGCAAGATCCTCCTGGGCAGCTTAGTTCCAGGTACTGTATGAACTTGCCAGTAATAAGAGTAAGTTTCTTTTAAAAGATTTCTGGATATTTTACGTTTTATACTCAGTCACTCAGATGCGAGGTTTTCTAGTATGTGTCTACTTAGGGGTCAGATTTGACCAGTTTTTAACAGTACAAGTTGTACATATAGGATACTTAATGTATTTCTAGGATATTATGCTTCATTTTCTCTTAGTATTTTAAAGGTTTTAAAAAACCCATTCTATACCTTCTATATCTTTTATTGTTTAAGTCATTCAATGGGAAAGAAAATAATAAAAGTCTTTAGATGCTGTTTCTGATTTTTCGATCATGGTTTTTTTAATCTCAAGAAAAATAATTCTGATTAAGAAATAGAGGTAAACATTATTCTGAAGTAGTGAATTAGAGAATACTTAAATATATTGAGCTGGAATCCTTGTGTATTGCATGTTGGGAATGTTAAATGATAAAGCTACTGTGGAAAACAGTTCTGTAGTTCATAAATATTTACACATAGAATTACTATATGATTCAGCAATTCCATTCCTATTCCTATACGCAAAAGAAAGCAGGGACTCAGGTACTTAAAAGCCAGTGTTTATAGCAGCATTATTGACAATACCTAAAAGGTAGAAACAACCCATGCCCATCAACAGATGAATGGATAAACAAAATATGGTATTATATATTGGAATATTTTGGTACAGTGGAATATTATTCAGCCATAAAAAAGAAGGCAGTTCTAATACATGCCATAACATGAATGAATCTTGAAAACATTATGCTAAGTGAAATAAGCCGGACACAAGAAGATAAATATTGTATATATCCACTTGCATGAGATGACTAGGATAGGTAAATTCATAGAGACAAAAAGTAGAATAGAGATTACCAGGGCTTGGGGGAAGGGAAGATGGAGAGATAGTGTTTCATGGGTTTAGAATTTCTGTTTGGGATGATAAAAAATTTCTGGAAATGAACAGTGGCGATGGTTGTACAACATTATGAATGTATGTAATGCCACTAAGTTGAATGCAGAAAATGGTAAATTTTTTGTTATGTATATTTTATGACAATTAAAAAATGCAAAAGTAAATATTGAAGATGTATCCTACACAGTCTCCATATGCCTCTTTACTCCCCCTTGGTCTGCTTCAGGCAGGTATATAGTTATTTTTTCTTCATCTGGCTGTTGCAGTGTAAATGGAGATTTCCCTAGGCCATTTTTTGGAGATCAGAGAGTTTCCTTATTTTATTAACTGACTTAAATTTAAGAGGAAAATGTTTAAAAGTAGATCTCTGGAGGGGAAAAAAGGGCATTTTAATATTGAGATGAATCAGGGAGTTTGTTAATATTGGCAGACCATGTAAGCACATGAAGATAATCTATCCTGAATAGCACAGCGAGTCATTTAGAAATCCAGTAGTAGGTGTACACTCGGACCTGTCACATTTTCTAACCTTTAAACATTGTTTTTTGTTTCTTTTTTTTGAGATAGAATTTCGCTCTTATTGTCCAGGGTGGAGTGCAATGGCGCGATCTCGGCTCACCCTGACCTCTGCCTCCCAGGTTCAAGCGATTCTTCTGCCTCAGTCTCCCGAGTAGCTGAGATTACAGGCATGCACCACCACCCCTGGCTAATTTTGTATATTTAGTAGAGACAGGGTTTCTCCATGTTGGTCAGGCTGGTTTCAAACTCCTGACCTCAGGTGATCTGCTCGCCTCTACCTCCCAAAGTCCTGGGATTATAGGCATGAGCCACCGTGCCTGGCCTAACCTTTAAACATTTTATTCATTCTTGACATCATTAGTACTGTGGAAAAACTTTGATTTCTGTTTAAGAGAAATGGTGTAAGTCATCTCTGTACTCATGTTGGAAATGCATTAGGTGTTAGAATTCTTTAGTTCCTTAGACTGTAAAACCAAGTTACAAAAGGGATAGAGTGAAAGAAAACACATAAATTCTGTTTTATTCATCTGAACTTGTCTCTGGCATCTAATGATTGCATAGTAGGTTCTGCTCCCTCTGTTTTTTTTTTGTGAGGTATTTGATGTTGAGTATAGTTGGATCATTTACCAAAAGATGGGCAAGATTTTCATTAAGTGATGGGATACCAAAGCCTAAACGTCGGATGAAAAGTATGTATACTCAAAATGTCAGATAAAAATTCTAATGGAAAGATTTAAATTCAAATGCAGGTAAGTTCTTAAGGAAAATTACATACCATTTACTACCACAAAATGTTTACCATTCATTCCAGAACTCCTGGAAAACAGTGTCAGATTGCAAGGGTGTGATAGTAATGTGTACATGTACTCTCTGTGGGTATATTTTCTTTTTTTTTTTTAAGATGGTGTCTCACTCTGTCACCCAGGCTGGAGTGCAGTGGCACGATCTTGGCTCACTGCAACCTCCGTCTCCTGGGTTCATGTGATTCTCCTGCCTCAGCCTCCGGAGCAGCTGGGATTACAGGCACGTGCCACCATGCCTGGCTAATTTTTGTGTTTTTAGTAGAGATAGGGTTTCACCATGTTAGCCAGACTGGTCTTGAACTCCCAACCTCAGGTGATCCACCTGCCTCAGCCTCCCAAAGTGCTGGGATTACAGGCATGAGCCACCACGCCCAGCCTTTGTGGGTATATTTTCGTGTGTGTGTGTGTGTGTGTGTGTGTGTGTGTGTATAGTGTGTATATATACTATATATACTCTTTATATAGTGTGTGTGTATATATATTGCTGTATATATAAATGGCTTGATACAAATTCCACTCAATGAGCTTTTCATACCATAGCTGTCATTTTTGTGGCCTACTAATTTCTCTGGCGGTAGGATCATTACGGATATCAAAAGGTATTGAGAGTCATGGTCTCCTCATATCCAGGAGTGATACGAAGAATTATTACATTGCATTTAGAATGCTCTTAAATGATTTTGGCCTATTCAAAAGAAAATGATCTCCCCTTTTCTTTGCATATCCTTGTTATGTTCCAGAGCCATCATTTTAGATAACTTATCATTTTCTTTCTTCTTTTTTTTTTTTTTTTGGAGATGGAGTTTCACTCTTGTTGCCCAGGCTGGAGTGCAATGGCGCGATCTCGGCTCACCGCAACCTCTGCCTCCCGGTTTCAAGCAATTCTTCTGCCTCAACCTCCCAAGTAGCTGGGATTACAGGCATGCGCCACCATACCTGGCTAATTTTGTATTTTTTTTTTTTAGTAGAGATGGGGTTTCTCCTAACTTAACATTTTCTTAAATATCTTCTAGCACTTTATCTGTACTTTTCAGAAGACTTGACTTTTTCATTGTTGTCTAATAGTCTCCTTGTCTCCCTTATTTGTGAGTAGGGATGATTTCTGATTTAACTTGGGGTCTTTTAATCGTGGGTACACAGTAAATATTCATTTGATGGCTGGGTAGCTGGATCCCTAGTTTGAATGTGCCATTTAAACTTAGCACCTTTCAATAAGAATGATACAGTGGACTTTGGGGACTCAAGGGGAAAGGTTGGGAAGAGGGTGAGGGATAAAAGACTACAAATTGGGTTCAGTGTGTACTGCCCAGGTGATGGGTGCATCAAAATCTCATAAATCACCGCTAAAGAACCTACTGTCTTTGGAACATGGCCTATATTTGAGGCATTTTTGTGTTTCCATGGTGTTCTTCAGTTTTTTCCTCAAAGTAGGGAACTAATAAATATTTAATTGAACAAATGAAGATGAAAGGCATGAGTCACCTGTAGTGCAAACCTAGCTTTTTATTCATTGCTATTTTAAAGAAATGAATGTTCTTCAGAGAATACATGACTTTTTTCATGTTTCTATTAGATTGTGAATTGATTTGGAAAATTCGAACAAAAAGCAGTATTTATGTTCCATGAAAATATGGGCCCTCAATTATGTACATTTTGTTTGTTTATTGGAGTCAGTTCAAATTATAAGTTAAGGGAATTATTTTTTAAAATAATGTAACTTTTCAGAGATTTGTGGTAGTTTTAAATGATCCTTTTTAAAAATAATCTTTGTCTGTCTTCTTCTTTTTTTTTTTTTTGAGACAGGGTCTGGCTCTGCTGCCCAGGCTGGGGTGCAGTGGCATGATCTCTGCTTACTGCAGCCTCCGCCTCCTGGGCTCAAGTGATCCTTCCACCCTCAGCCTCCCACGTGAATGCCACTATGCCCAGATAATTTTTGTGGGTTTTTTTTTTTGGTAGAGATGGGGTCTTGCCATGTTACCCAGGCTGGTCTGGAAGTCTTGGGCTCAAGCGATCCGCCCACCTTGGCGTCCCTAAGTGCTGGGATTACAGGCATGAGCCACACCTGGCCTTAAATGATCCTTTTATAAGTGAAATTCTAGAAAGGACATTTTAAGGGACAGAAACCCTCTCCTCCCCCAAATGTGCCTTGCTGAGCTGTTGGAGGCCCAGCTGAAAGAGTTGATTCTGTCCAAGTGTTGGTTAGTGCTAAACTAAGCCATGGAGAAAGGGTCAAAGAGCATGCCTTGGAAAGAACTTGAGGAGAATGACCTCAGCTATTTGCAGGGGGAGTTAAAGACTGTTAAGAGAAGAATCTCCTGGGACATTATAGGGCTGTGTGTTTGGAGAGGGGCGGTGCCTGTGAGGCTCTTGTTCTTTAGATCTGGGGTGGGATCTGGAAATCCTTATCAAGTGTTTCAGGTGAATTATATGATCAGACAAGTTTGGGGAACTCGGAGTTGGGGAGTTGGCCCTCTTGGTAATCTGTCCCTATAAGGTTTTCAATCTAATGGCTGGAAAGAGGTGAGAATAGTGCTTAGATTAAAGGACTCCAGTTAGGAGATAGGGCAAAATTGAAGGTTTTAATCATCATATTCCTTGGAGTAAAATGATAGCCAGCTATTGGCAGTTTTATTTAGAAATGAGGACACTTTTGTGCACTGTACTTCCAAACCCTCTGACCACAAGGCAGATGTAAAATACAGTAATAGTGGCCAACAATTTTCCAGCACTCACTACTTGCCAGGCATTTTCATGTAAATATGTATTCCATCCATATGTATATTCTGTGTGTGTCTGTGTGTATACATCCATTTATCTATATACAAACACACTTTCCTTAAAAAGTAATTCTGGAAGATATTCTGTTTTTCTGTAGGTGTTTCTAGTGTCCACCGCAGAAGCTGGTACATATTGAGTGCCCCCATAAGTGTTTATTGAGTGAATCAAAGATGAGAAGGCATACTCAAAAACATTAAAAAACTTTCCTAAGTCACTTAGAGTGATTTTAAAACTTTTTTTTAACTGTATCACACTGCTTCTCGATAGTTCAAGTTAATTATCTTATTTGTATCTCTAGACTTGGTACAGTGTCTGTGTTCCCAGGTGGCTGAATACTAAGGCTAAATATTAGCTGAATGCCTTCCATGTGCTCAACCTGTCTATTGTCTAGAAAACTAAAATCTAGGCTGGGCACAGTGGCTCACGCCTGTAATCCCAGCACTTTGGGAGGCCAAGGCAGGCAGATCACCTGAGGTCAGGAGTTTGAGACACACCTGACCAACATGGTGAAACCCCATCTCTACTAAAAATACAAAAATTAGCCAGGCGTGGTGGCGGGCACCTGTAATCCCAGCTACTCAGGAGGCTGAGGCAGGAGAATCATTTGAACCTGGGAGGCGGAGGTTGTAGTGAGCCGAGACTGCGCCATTGCCCTGCACTCCAGCCTAGGTGACAGGGCGAAACTCCGTCTCAAAAAAAAAAAAAAAAAAAATCTTCTTTTGAAACAATATTCTGGACATTTTCCAAGAGGGAGATTTTCCTAGATTGTTCTCTGTAGTAGCAACTTAAGCTTAGAATGAAAGAAACCAGAGGATAAAAGTGTACTTCATAGAAAGTAATGTATAAGAAGCACAATGGAGTGAATGGGAAAAATTTGAGACAGTTGGTTAAGAAATGGTAGTGAAGCTTTACCTTATTCGGACACTTTAAACACTCTATGAAAGGGAGTCCTTTTACTCACTGGTAAAACAGTTCTGTTCATCCGCAGTGCCTTTCATTTCAGTTAATAAGAGTAAGATGCTGTACCTATAATTTGCACCTGGAAAAGCAAATCCTCCTATTCCTAATACTAACTGTTTTTCTCCTTTTAAGGTTAATACTTTTAGGTGGTGTAGGTTGTACCCAAGGCAGCCACAGGGATGGGATGAGCAAAGGACTAGAGGGTGTCTATCTCTGAGAACTCAGAAAGCAGCTCCTGCAGTTAATTAAAGGTGACCTCAGGATTCAGAGGAACCTTGTGCTTTCCCAGACGGCCCAGGCTAAACCTGGGTAGCTGGCAACCCTAAATGCGTCCTTTGTTAGAAATCATGTAGGGCTCGACTCCATCTTTAGAAAGTGAGTTCACTGAAGGTGAGTTAAGGACAAGGCTCTGAAGAGCGGCCTGACTTGCTTTCTTTCCTTGTGTTTGTGGAGGGGTGTAGACAAAGACACTAAGTGAAGATGCAGCCCCCAAGGCTGTATTGCCTAAAAACCGTTTCTGGCTTCTTCACAGGAATATTCCTCGTGGTCTAGAAGGAGCTATGTGCTTCTCTGGAGATTGTTTCCACAGAATGGTGAGGACTGTTAGAACCACCTTCTCCTTTCTCTCCTGTCTCAGGAGGGAGGCTGTAAGTGCTAAAAATGCCCCTGAACAGGGGGGTAGGGGGTGCAGCACCTCCAGAGAAGTGGTACTTAATGCTGGCTGCCCACCTGACCCCTCTCTCTATAGTTGGAGGCTGGGGAAGCCTTTGCCTCCTTCCAGCTTTCAGGACTTGCTGTGGTAGGTCCTCATGATGCAGATTACCATAGCACTCAACTACTTCTTAAGAGTACATAGTTTCTTAAATATCAATATTATACCTCAAGAGGTAAAGAGAACAGTTTTAAGCATCTATCAAAGGAGGAATAGATTGTAATTTTAGGATCTGAGTGTTTTATTTCCTTATATTTCTTTAAAATTGCTTGGACTCTCTTCTCTCTAACCTCACACTTTCACCACCATCACCAAAATTTGCTTTGTATTTATACTCATTTTTAAATAAATTACTATAAAGTCAGTAATTTGGAGTCTCTTCGGAAGTTCATCTTTAAAAAATCCTCCTTCTTTTAAAGTGAAGTGGGAGGAGAAGAAATGGATAACAATTTTTAAGGTTTATATTTTATTTCCGGCTTTGTTTAGCAATACATATCTTAATGTACTATACAATTTCTTCACTAATGAAAAAACATAATTATTTCCAGTTTTATTTGATTTTGGACCTATTTTCTTGCTATGTGATTATTGTCCTGTATCTTTAATTACATCTTATTGACACCCGTGGCAATCTCAATAATTAGAAAACATAGCTTTTTAGCTTTTACCATTTGCTTATTATATTCAATTTAAACAGGGAAACAGTGTCACTTCCTGTTTATGTTTCACTTTGCAGTTCTCTTAAATTAGTTCAGTGTTCTCAGGAGTTCATTCAAACCTATGAGGGCATACTAGTTGACAAAAAAGAGAACAGAGGATTCAAATAAATGTCTCTAATAGATTATTTTAGCTTCATTTAGTGTGATTTTGGGTCTGAAGTGTTTGCCATTAACGTTCTAGTTGCATGTTTGTCTTCCTTGCTTTCGTGAGGAGCAGGGGCAGTGGGAGTGAGTAGGGGAGAACAGGCGATGGCTAGGGAAGGATGTAGCACTGATGAAGGTGAGTGAGTTTGTTCCTAGTATGTTTCTTTCTTTTTTTTTTTTAGACGGAGTCTTGTTCTGTCGCCCAGGCTGGAGTGCAGTGGTGCGATCTCGGCTCACTGCAAGCTCTGCCTCCAGGGTTCACTCCATTCTCCTGCCTCAGCCTCCTGAGTAGCTGGGACTATAGGCGCCCGCCACCACGCCCGGCTAATTTTTTGTATTTTTTAGTAGAGACGGGGTTTCACCATGTTAGCCAGGATGGTCTCAGTCTCCTGACCTCGTGATCCGCCCGCCTCGGCCTCCCAAAGTGCTGGGATTACAGGCGTGAGCCACTGCGCCCGGCCTGTTCCTAGTATGTTTCATGTGGGATGGCAGGTTTTCCAAATCCTAGTTTCCACTGAGTCATCGGTGAGTCCAATAGAGGGAGGATTCTAGCCTGATGTCAGACGTCCTGCTTGGCAGACTAATGAAGGACTTTTTTTTTTTAAAAAATGTATTTTTAACACAGATTGGTGTATTTGTATATCTTCAGTAAGTTTCAGTTTTAGCCAAGAAATAATCTTTCATAACATTTTTCATGAGAAAGCATAGAATGATTTTCTAGAAAGTTTAATGGCAAGTTGTGTTAGATGAAAAGGAAACATTTTTAAGGACACTATGCTTCTTGGGTATTCTTGAGCCCTTGTCTATAGATAATAGCCGGTTACAATGTACAGTTTTCATATTTGGAGGGGACATGGGAAACTACTCACTTAACTTGGAGTTAATATTTTGGTGCTCTGGAAACATCTGAGTTTGGAACTGTGCTGTGCACATCTCTAACTGGTTTAATTGCCCAGTCTCTCAGTGTCTTAGCACTCTCAGTGTTTTATGCTCAATCTCTGTGTCTTGTTATGACTATTTGGCTCAACGTAGTGTTTTGAACTAGTGATTAGGAAGTGGTAGCTGCTGCTGTTTTATTATTTTATTGCTTTACTCTGTGACTACAGACAGATTTAATTGTTGGATGTATTTCTTAATGGGATAATTATTTAAAAACATTCCCAGTTACTTTAAAAGCGTATGTGAATATTAGCCATCAGTTTTGTCTTGACCTTGCCTTTGGCTCCTTGAGTGTCTCTGTTCATGTGACAGCTTTCCAGCTCATCCTTAATGTCATACTCGAGCTGTTTATCTTAGTGAGGTAGTGTGGGCCTAAAATGAAATAATATATATCAAAAGCACCTGTGGGGGAAAGCACATCTGAATGCCAAGCAGTACTTAGTTACTGCAAGTGCTACTTCTACCAATATTTTTCTTCCTTTCTGCCCCTTTAAAGAGAGGTTGTCCCTTTTTAATAGATATATGACAGCTCTGCTTCCTTTCTTAAGTCTAAGATCAAAGAAATGTTGTAATAAAGGGGAGTCACTCCCTCCCATTCCTTCTCTCTTTTTGTGGATGTTGTTCTGTTTTTTAAGAGCGATCAGGTCTTGACATTAGTGGATGCAGCTGTTGGGCTCCCAAGCTCTGCCTTTCATCTCTGGGTCACCACTGCAGACAGCATCCTTCATCTCTGTCATGGTGTAAAGACACCACTGTGGGGGAACAGTGCGTTGCAGGTTAAGTACATGAAGTATTTCTAGAGATCCTAGCCACCTTTGCCGTTCATTGTTGTTTGGATGCACTTTTCTTTGAAATGACATGGAATGTTTGGCAGAGATGTCAATCAATAGAAGAGTTTCTCTGCTTTAGAGGTACCTAAACCTCACCAACTTCTTGTAAATTGGAAGACTAGCTCCAAAAAAGTAAAAGGGGTTGGGGGGAAGAACAAAACTTTTACTGGCAGGTTTTTTTCTAGACATAAACACAGTTGAATGGAAAGGATAATAGGGATCGAAGCCTGTCTTGCTCTATGAGAGTGAATGAGCTAGTGTTAGACTTTAATGCTGGAGAAAAATAACATCTACCTTTTTTTTTTTTTTTTTAAATGAGGCAGTCAGTGCAGTCTAACTGATGAAAATTAAAGGTCAGTTTCTTCAGTGCCCCACCTCAGTGCATGCCTTGGGCCATGTTAATAATGACAATCCCATTATTTCCTTGCAGTAGGCAGGAAATGCTGTCTACACCCATTAGATTTGTTTGAGTGGCCCCTGGCTGGAAATGAAGAAAATTTAATTTTCTAATTTGCAGGGAGGAAAAAAAAAAAAGCATACAGTGCTACATAGAGGTTGATTCTTGGGCTGGAAGGAGTGTCATTTTTAAAAACTTGAAATTCTGAATCTCTATTATTGAGACATTTGGCCCTAATCCACACTGAAATCATGTATGGATTTACGTGCAAGTTAGGTGTCTAGGAAACCTTTTTAAATATTGTCAGAATTGGCACAATTGTGGACGTTTTAACCACATGTTTGCAAACTGCCTAGTTGCTCACATGTCCCACTGGCTGCTGGAAACTTGCTTGAAGGAGGGCTTTGTCAGAGCTTTCTCTCGGAATATTAGTTTTGCTTTTCAGAAGCAACATTCATGTTGAAGAAAATCTGTATATTCATTAGGGTAATCAATTACTTTGTGGTTTCAATAACAAGAAAATATTATTAGTGTTACAGAGGAAAAAAATGTGAACCTGTCTTTGTACATTCTAATCATATTGCCTTGCAGAGTTACATTTCCTAATCTTAGGGCTGACTTGGTTTCTGCTACTGTTATGTCCTTTAAGAATGAGATCCTTAATTTTCTTTTTTTTTTTTTTGTAGCAAGTTGATGTCCCTCTTACATTTTTCCTTTTTATATAAGCCAAAAGATTTTTATTGCTATTTTGATATATTATTTGGTTTATTGGGATGTTCTATTACAGATCCTCAGTTGGTATATAATTCATTCTAAGATACTCAATATCACATTTTCCCATGAAATACATAATGAGAAGAGGACCTTAAGTTGAAAGGACTTGCTTGAAATCAGAGGAGTATTAGTAGCCAATACTACAAGAAGCAGACATTCAGTCTTTGTGTCTAGAGGAGGCAGAGTAAATCATCTCATTTTAATGGATCTGTAGTTTCTATTAAACAGAACCTGTCATATTAGCACCATAACTTCCGGTCATATATTTGTTTTGTATTGACTGTACATATAGAGCTTCTTTGTTGCTTCTTGAAATGATATATTGGAAAAACAAGGAGTTTCTACCATCTTCATAGGAGCATATCAATGAACCAAGAAAGTTTTATGAACATTTTCTTTTCTCCGTGTCCTAATTCCCAAAACCTTTAGCAGTTTGCCTAGAGCAGTGACCATTTTGCCTCTGACATTTTGTTTCTGGTTTTCATCAAAACCAACATCTTCCATAATGTTTATTTTCCTTATTTATTTGTCACTATTAATGCTTACAGGAAGCAGCAAAGCATGGAATTCTTTACTTTTTTAATAAGTGTAGTACTAGTGTAACTTATATGTGTGTTTTGTAGAAATACATTTTGATGATAGCACGTAACATAATACATATTTGGGAGCATTTTAAAAATATTTTCTGAATTTATATTTCACTTAAAAAAAAAGAGTGAGGTTTCTAGTGGCATTTTTGATATTAATAGTAAGAAGTCCTGTGATCCATACACCTTCCCAGTGGGTTTTTGGATAAGTCTCAGATTAGTTCTCCTCAGGACTCCTGACACTAATTGTTCTCCATGGCATGGGGGAATTTGAAGCTTATATATAAAGGACTTAAAAGGCTTTGAAAAATTTCTCCTGATACTCGGCATTTGGGAGTCAAAAGTTTGCATCTGAAAAATTGTTTTCTTGATTGAGAATTTAGGTTTGAAAGTGACTTTATGGATTATTAACTGGCCACCTGGCCTCTGTTATAGATTGTCTGACCTATTTATTTGAAATTTATCTAGTATACTTAAATTTGGCAAGAAATCAGGGCACAAATACAAGTTAGGCGTATTGTTTATTTTTCTAAGTCAATAACGCAATTCATTTTGCCATGGAAAAGTAATCATGGAAAACATTAATACCTGATAGACTGTATAAACTTGCTTAACTTTTAGCATAATGATACTTTTTTCCAGGATGCTGACCGGATGGTTTTATGTAAGGATGTTTATCTATAGTCCAGTGAATTAAAACTTTTAGGTAAATAGAGGGCATGTATTACTTATTCCTAGGGCAGTTCCTTTTGAATGATTTCACTTATTGAGAACTGTCATTTTGAAATGTTTCAAACCAATTAGGCATCTTTAGATCTAAATCTTCCAGCCTTCAGCTTTAGGGAATACATATTTGGATTTGCAAGAATGTGAAGATTTAGCCAGGTAGTCACTTCCTATTAGCTGTGAGAGGTCTTCGGACTCAATTGACTGGTGCTTGTTAAATATCTGTTTTTTTGGAGAATTTGTTTCCCTCCCGAAGAGAGAACCCTCATAGTCAGTGGGGCCCATTGACAATTCTCAAATACTATCTTTTAGGATTCTCGTGACTCAGTTTTGTAGTGAACTTTTGAATAAATATAAGTAATGAAAGATGGTAGATTTAATTTAAAAGTCTAGATTCTTTTAGATGTCAGTCAGTCCTGTTGCTAGGGTGGGGGGTGGTAGTGGTGTGTTCCCTCAGGTGAGAGTGTAGTGGTGGTGGTGGGCAGAGGGTAAGACACATTTATGAGTTGGCCCCACACCAGGCTTTTCTCTGTCTTCCCTAGGCCATGAGACTGATTACTTACCATGGTGAGAGAAAACCCTAAAGGCCCCCTCCACACTTCTCATTTGCCCTTTAGAAGACCTAGAAGATTGTAGGAACAGATAGATTGCATGAACTGGTACCTGAAGTTTAGGGAGCCATCAGTTCAATCAGTAGTAGTATTTATTTGAGTGTAGCTGTAAAGATGCGGCAAGAGAAGAAGCAGGGAGATGTCTAATTCCTCTGTTTGACTTTCCCACTAAAATCTAAATTCCTTGAAGGCAGAGACCGACACTTTCCTCTTCTCTTATATACAGAGACTGGCAAACAGACTGCTCAGCAAGTGTTTATTGAATGAATGATTTAATGATGGAGCAGGACATGTTGTTTTGACACTGAGATGCCATGTGTTTGAACCAGGTGAAAACTTATGTTTGATTTTAATTTTAAAGACATGTTCTAATTATAATTCTTACTATTGGAGGCATATGGAACTTTCAATCAAGAGGAATAACTGAGATACTTCAAATTATGTGAAGATAGAAAGGTTTTTCTTGTTCAGTCAATAATTATTGCATTGCAGATAACAGAAACCCACTTAAGCTAGTTTAAGCAATAAAGGTTTGAGGAAAATGAAGGCAGTGTTTCTATACCTCCTGAGCTCCTGGAACCAGCCCTGGGAAGTCACTGGAAGCACAGGTTGCATTTCATCTTTTCTTTGCTCTTCCTTCCCTGATATTTCTTTTTGCAGAGCCCATCCTATATGAATAATGGATGCTTATTCTAAACTCATGAAGTGATACCAATTTTTTCTTTTAAAACGGCCTGGTCTGCACATTACTTTTTTTTTTTTTTTTTGAGATGGAGTCTCGCTCTGTCACCCAGGCTAGAGTGCAGTGGCGTGATCTCGGTTCACTGCAAGCTCCGCCTCCCGGGTTCGCACCATTCTCCTGCCTCAGCCTCCCGAGTAGCTGGGATTACAGGTGCCCGCCACCAAGCCCGGCTATTTTTTTTTATGTTTAGTAGAGACAGGGTTTCACCGTGTTAGCCAGGATGGTCTCGATCTCCTGACCTCGTGATCCTCCCGCCTCGGCCTCCCAAAGTGCTGGGATTACAGGCATGAGCCACCACACCCAGCCTACTTTTTAATAGTAAATTGAAGTTATGGGTGTTAGATATATTCTTTGCAAGCCGTTTTGAAGCAGATTCTTTTCCTAATGTGTCATGTACAATCTGTGGGGGAAGAAGGTTATATAAAGCAAGAATGACTTCTATTCAACAAAATAGTGATATTCTATATTTTCCTGTCTCTTTTGTTTCTTTCTTTAAAATGAACTACAGTGAGACATGGCCAGATTGATTTCTTCCCTTAAATTGTCTCAGAAACTGTACCCAGTCCACTAATTGCTTTGTTCAGCGGACAGGAAATGGTTATATTTGCACAAGTTACACAATCTTAACTAAGTCGGGGCAAAGAACCAAAGAGATCTCTGATCTTTTTTTCCAGCATTAACCTTTCAGTTCCACAAACTAATGCATGATGCATAAACCAGGTTACTAGGGGACACTTATCAAAAACCATAAACTTATTTATCTGAATGACTTTCTGTTTAGGGATACTAAGAAAAGAAGTTACGTGAGGTAATCATGCTGGTGCTGAGGTTAAGTTTGTGCAGTTTCACTTCTTCCTTAATAGTTTTTTTATACATGCAATAAAGGACATGTCCGGAAGCTGATCAGTGCCAGCATGACCATGAAGTGCTCAGTCCCCATTCCTTCTCTCCTTACCCCTCAGCCCCCTTGCAGGCTATATACAAATTTATTCTTTTCCTTTTCTAGGGTTGGGAATTTGCCTCCTTTCTTCCTGCCCCTGTCTGTTATTGGTCCCTAGTACCCCAATTTCTGCTACTTTTCTCCTCCTTCTTTTTTTTTTTTTTGAGATGGAGTCTCTCTCCGTCACCCAGGCTGGAGTGCAGGGGCATGATCTCAGCTCATTGCAACCTCCGCCTCGCAGGTTCAAGTGATTCTCCTGCCTCAGCCTCCCGAGTAGCTGGGATGACAGATGTGTGCTACCACGCCTGGCTAATTTTTTGGATTTTTAGTAGAGATGGGGTTTCACTGTGTTAGCCAAGCTACCTGTCTTGACCTCCCAAAGTGCTGCGATTACAGGCGTGAGCCACCGCGCCTGGCCACTTTTCTCCTTCTTGAAAGTGGGATTTTCTCTTTATCATTGTTTGATTATTGTATAAGTATTATGATTGGCATTTTGCAATTTGAGCAGAGCTGATATTATATATGGTATTTCTAAGTACTTTTTTTTTTGACTCTGCCAAACTGTTAAGTCATTCTCCATCCATCTATCCATCCATCCACCCATCCATCCATCCTCTTCTCATTTTGACTTCTATTAGTTATTTCCTGAAGCCCGTATATCACTGAGAAAAAGTTAATCTTAAGTGAATAACTTAGGTCAAAATGAGAGGAGAATGAAGAATTAAGTGAATGTAGGCAGAGTCAGAAAAAAAAATAGTGTCTCTCTTTAAAGCATTACTTTTTTTGGTGATGCCTTTGAAGGAAGTGAAATTGGTGTATGATCTAATGCTACAAAACCATATCTTGCTCTCATAGATTTTAAGATTTCTCTTTTGAATGATCCATTGCTGTCCTTTCTTTACACGTATCTTTTCTCCCTATCTTCCTTGTTAAATACATTTTTTCGTTATATACTTTTGAAGCAAGTCTTGATTTTTTTGTATTTTCCCCATTTTTCTTCAAATGTTCCACAGTTCCCTAAAATAAGATAGCATTTTTGTCTTTTTCTACAGTCTATTCTTTGCTGTTTACTTCATCCCCACCCACCGCCACCAAAAATGCCTTCAGAAAGTCCCTACCTTTTCTTGTACATTGTCCTTCTGTTCAGATTCTTGTATCGCTGATACTCTCCCCTGCTACCCATTCTCCTCCCAACAGTTTTCTTTGATAGTGATATCTGCCTTGGAATTTCCACTGTGCCTGTTAAACTCTTTGAGAAGGATAATTCTGTCAACGTTTACTTCTCTTCCCCTTCTAGCCCCAAAGACTGAGGACAGTGTCCTCCTCATGCATTCCTGTGACGAGGAATCTGCACTGAGGTTTCTACTCTTTCCCTTACCAGGATTCTGAATTGTCTGTGACTGTCTGATATGATTGCTGATCTCTTTCCTGTTCTCAGATAGGACACAAGGGGTTCCATTCGGAGTTGGCTCAGGACATTCAGATGCCATTATTTTAGTAATGATCACATGATGTTTTGAGGGCAGCCTGAAAAAAATAGAGTCTCTAACAGAGGAGCTGGGTAAAATCAGAGTAGGACCATCTCTAATGCCTTTTCTAGCTCTCTTACTCTGATTTTGTGAATTTATCCTTAGGGACAGTTTTTCATCAGGATGAGACCCTGCTGTGGTCTGAATGTTTGTGTCTCTCTCCCCTCACCAAATTTATTTATATGTTGAAATCTAACCCCCAAGTTGATGGTGTTAAGAGGTGGGGCCTTTAGGAGACAGTTACATCATGAGGGTGGATCCCTCATGAATGGCATTCACGCCCTTATAAAAGAAGCTTAAGGGCCAGGTGTGGTGGTGCGAATCTATAGTTCCAGCTATATGGAAGGCTGTGGCCGTGAGAAGATTGCTTGAGGCCAGGAGTTTGAGGCTGCAGTGAGTGAATAACCCCTGCACTCCAGCCTGGACAACATAGCAAGACTCTCTCTTAAAATAGATAGATAGATTAGATAGACAGCCTAAGGGAGCCTGATTGCCCCTCCACCATGTGAGGACACAGCAAGAAGGCACCATCTGTGAACCAGGAAAGGAGCCCTCACCAGACATCTGATTTGTTGGTGCCTTGATTTTGGACTTACCAACCCCGAGAACTGTAAGAAATGAATTTCTGTTGTTTGTAATTACCCAGGCTAAGGTATTTTGTTAAAGCAGACCAGATGGACTAAGTCAGCCCCATAATGACCCGTTTTATATTTTTATTTATAATCTATCTGCTGCTTAATTTTGTGATTAGTGGCCAGCTACTGTTTACTCATCTTTTATTCATCTGTAAAACTCTTTTTAACTTGTCTTTGTAAGAAACGGTTGGCTAACAGATGAATTTTCAGGTTGTTCAGTTTTAAAATGTTTTACTTAAAAGGGTAAGACAACTCCCCAATGCAAAGTGTGACTTCAGAGATAACTTTCATTTCTTTGAAATGTAGGAAGTCCATAGCCATTGCTGGCTGACATCTTTCTGCTCAATATGCTCCAGGGGAAGATTATCAAATTTTAGCTTCTGAGCTTTCAAATGGCTCTTATTATCAGTGGCATATTACATGAAACTGGTTTTGGGCTCTTCAAATTTATATTTTTGGCAAAGGTGTTGGGAGATTTGATTTCATTCGTCATCACTGCAGTACCTGGCGCATAGTAGGCTCTCCATTTGGTGTGTTGGATGAATGAAGAAAGTGATTCTGCTAGTCAGTGGGGTTTAAAAACAAGTGTCCACCAACTTAATGGGTCCCCATTGATCCTGAGTTCACCTCTGTTGCCCTGTATATATGTGACCCCATGTTTATTGCAACCTTATGGGCATCTCAGGCACTGCAGAGAACAGCCTCTTAAAATTTCTGGTAGAGGCCTGGTGCGGTGGCTCACGCCTGTAATCCCAGCACTTTGGGAGTCTGAGGCGGACGGATCATGAGGTCAGGAGTTCGAGACCAGCCTGACCAACATGGTGAAACCCCATCTCTACTAAAAATATAAAAATTAGCCGGGCATGGTGGCATGCACCTGTAGTCCCAGCTACTCAGGAGTCTGAGGCAGGAGAATTGCTTGAACCTGGGAGGCGGAGGTTGCAGTGAGCTGAGATCGTGCCACTGCACTCCAGCCTGGGTGACAGAGCTAGACTCCGACTCAAAAGAAAAAAAATTTTTGGTAGACTCCTATGTGCCATTTCTGGAGAACTGAAATAGTAGTGGACATACATAGGATTCATTTTAGTGTAGATATGACTTTTTAGTGAAACTTGAAGTCCTACTTCCTGTGTGTGAAATAGGGTAATAGGATCACACCCGAAGAAATGCCGCCTTGTTCAAAAGTGACAGGATCGCTGTTCAGTTTGGAATATTGGAAAGTGGGCAGGTTTATTTGGAAGCACTTTGTTTTTACTATATGTGTAAAACTCCAGGGAGCATTGAATAGGATATGAGGTGCTCCCTTTGGCTGTGCATTAGCAACGTGGCAGTTACTGATCTGTCATTTACTTTGAAAAGGAATTACAAAGTTTTGGCCTCATGCCTGGAGTAGCTCCAGATGGTCAGAAAAGATTTTTGTACTGAAGTCAGAAAGTATATTGCAGTGATAGAATTGGGCTTGTCATGTTTATATTAGAACACTGGCTTCCCACTTTATTCCTCTGCAAAGTTTTTCTTTCTTTCTTTTTTCCCAGAGAGTGAGGGGAGGAAATTGTTGCTTTAGAGTTATGAGTCTAATATTTGGAATACTGTTGTTCTTGGTGATAATGATGTAGAGGTATGATTATGTGGTTAATGTAGTTACTTTGTCAACCTAAATACCCCTGATTCTTAGTATTTACAAAGGATGCATGAAGGCTTGGAATGTAGAGATACACCAAGACCATTGTAGCTGATGTAGAAATGCAGGTAAGAAGCTTCATTTGGGTTGCGTTTGCTTGTCTGATAACCTGGCTGTTAGCCCACAACTGTTATTTAGTAGCTTACCAAACTTCATCTGTTCTGTCTTCCCATGATTCTGTGGTTGCTAGGGGTAATGATGACGTTTGGGTGTTCAATATGGGTGGGAGGTGGGCCTGGGGAGATGAGCAGTGAGGCGATAATGATACTAACACCAAGTTTTGCCATTTTAGGCATTAGAGCATCTTAAATTCCACATATGATCTTGTGTACCTTCATATCAACCCTGGAAGGGGAACGATGTGATTCCTATTTTCCTGATGAGAAAACTGAGACTTTGGGAGGTAATATCTGCCCAAGGCAATATCTAGGTAACTCCCTTCTGCAGCCTGTTTACATATAGTTTTGGCGAAAATGACTACAATTTCCTGTCCTTTCAGGACAGAGGTGGCTACAGGCTTCAGGAAATAAAGCTCATTTTCCTCTGGGAAACTCAGGACTTGTCTGGGTTGAGCCATTTAGTAAAGCTTGGTCACAAGGCTCAGATTAAGACCTGGATCTACGTGCTGCTGTTCCCAGACTGCTTTCAGTTACTCTTGTGGTTACTGAGTAACTTGGGAGTTAGAAGAACATTAACAAAGTTTTGTGTTTTCGAAGAAAATGCTACACATGGAGAAGTGACACTAAGTTGCATACTTCAGAAAGGAATTTTTATCTGTTTTGAGATTCTGGTCTATACATTGAAAATGAACTAATTTTGATTATTATACTTTTAATTGGTTGCACGAGTGTGTGAACATAGGCAGCTCTTTTGAAGCACTTTTACTGAAAAGTGTAAAAATTTTTGTTGCTGTTGTTCAGTAGCAGACATATACAATACTCTCTTTTTGAGACATACACAATATTCTCTTATTGTGGATTTAGGGGTCTTGTACCAGATCACCCTTTTCTCAGATTGCAGCTCTTCCTCCTTGCTTTATGTAGAGTGGTTTCTAACTTGGTTCTTTCTCCTGTGCAGATATAAGACTTGGTCCGCAGTCTCCTACCCTCACCCAGTCTTCCATGAGCTATCAAAATCCTCCTCTAGGCTTTTATTATTTTGCTTCCTAATTTTGTCCTTTTAAATTTCCACTGTTTAGATATTATTCAGACAGCAGTGGTATTTTTCTGTATATAATGTGGCGCTGTAATTAGTTTGAGTTCTTTTGGGGTTGTGTCTTAAACAGCGAGAATGGCCTGATTGATGTGCTTTTTGAAGTCTTACTACCTTTTTGATGAGAAGGATGAAAGTGGTGTGGAGATGAGTTTGTCTGGCTTACTGTAAATCTGATCTGTGAGGCTTTTCTGCGTTCACTAAGGCACCAGAGTCGGACTCTGCTTTTTTTCTTGTTTGATGTTACTTTATTACACTTATGAATGAAATACTAATGCTGTTATTTTATAGAAGATCATAAAATAAAAGTACACTTTCTTAGTGTTTTATGTTTCTTTAAAAAGATAATTACCGTGAGTCATAGAGCTACAATTACATCAAGAGTTTCCTATACGAAGCAAAGTCTCTGGTGGGTTTTTGGTACAGTCTTTGCACCTGGATCAGTGGAGCAAAATGTCATCACACTTGAAAAAAAAATTACTTAACAGGCCCATTAAGAATCTTCAGAAGTTTGCATCTTGTTAGGGATTTGTGGTCCAAGAGTTAGTACTACAGAACAGGCTCTTTTGTAGACCTAGGGAAACCAGTTTGTTTCTCTGCCACTTAACCTGCAAGACTTATTATAGGTGTTTCCTTCTCCTGTCTGTTTTGAAGAGACTTCCTCTGGGAATTAATGGTAGAATACTTATGACTCCTGAGAGCAGAGAACGTTCAGGCCATCATCATCTTCTCCCTCTGGGCTGTACATGGCCTCCCTGTGTCTCTACTGCCTGTCATACCTCCCCACTCCTCCACCTCAGTCACAGGGCGACTGCCTTGCTTTCGGTCTACCTTTCCCAACTCTTCAGGCTCATCCTGGTGGATCCCATTCTGTAGCCCCTGCTGCTCTTTTCAGGGGATTCTATTTTGTCTTATACACTTTTGTCATTTAGTTACCCACCTATTCCCCCCAGTGGACTCCCATTCTGGGCTCCTGCAGAGGGCTTGTAAGTTCACCTTTATATCCCCAGGGTCAGAGCTGATGCTCTGCCGAGTGAATGGGGAAGCGCCAGAAAGAACAGAAGCTAATGATGGACTGGCTCGACCATGGCTCCCACTTTCAATACTCATCCCTCTGTTTCCTCAGACATTTTACTTGAATTAATTTTGTAGTTCTCCTTCTGAACTGCTGAGCAAGTATTTGGACACTTTGTGAGGAGCCTTTTTTTTTTTTTTTTTTGAGATGGGGTCTCACTCTGTCTCCCAGGCTGGAGTGCAGTGGCACAATCTCGTCTCACTGCAGCCTCCGCCACCCGGGTTCAAGCAATTCTCCTGCCTCAGCCTGCTGAGTGGCTGGGATCACAGGCTTAAGCCACCACGCTCTGGTAATTGTTTGTATTTTTGGAAGAGATGGGGTTCCACCATGTTGGCTAGGCTAGTCTCAAACTCCTGACGTCAGATGATCCACCTGCCTCGGCCTCCCAAAATGCTGGGATTACAGGCATGAGCCACCGTGCCCGGCCAGAGGAGCCCTCATTTATAGCAAGAATAAAAACATTTTGTCAGGAAATTTAATAATAAGCCCAGACTGAGTGCTTGCTATGTGCCAGACACTGTTCTAAATGCTTTACATGCATTTCTTCATTTAATCCTCACAGTGTCCTGAATTAGGTGCTTTATTTTATTATTTCCACTTTGCCAGTGAAGAAGCAGAGGTAGTGAGAGGGTAAGCAACTTGCCTGAAGTTAAAAGCTAGTCAGTTGTGGACTTAGGGTTTGTAGCCAGGCAGTTGTGGTCTTCAGGGAGGGGACATAACATCATTCCCCTCCTGAAACTCCATATTCCTTTGTAAATCTTATTCTGTGTTACATATTTTCCTGTCCTTCATTTAGTTATTTAGGTCAGCTTCTTGTACTTCTGCTGCAAAACGTTGCTGTCAATTTACTTGACCTGGTAACCTCCCGGTGAGTTTCGCCAGGGCTTCCAGTCAATTTAGCAGGTCACTCTAGTACCTGTGGGAGGGTGAGGGCATGGAATCCTCAGGAGAGGGCTCTGCTGTTGGCTGCTGTCTCCACTTGAAGTGGACAGTTTTGAATATCTTAATAAAATCAAATCGGATGTTCTTAGGTATTCATTCATTTTATTTTCCTAAGCAAAATGTTTTGTAAAATGCTGCTTTTACGTGGCTAGAGCCACTAAATATCTCTATTAATACTTTTAGGCAAAGGTTGAGATCTTTGAAGAATTAGTGGGTTTTAAAAATTTACTTATTTTTATTTTTTAATTTTAAGTTCTGGGATACATGTACAGAACGTGTGGGTTTGTTACATAGGTGAATGAGTGGGTTTTTTAAGTTGTTTTTGCGTGCCTTTAGTCTTACTGGTTTGCCTTAGTTTCTCTACTCTCCAGACTGCTGTGCTGACTTTTCATAGCTATCTGACTTTTCAGTCCAGTGCCCTTTTGATGCTCTGGCCAGGTGGCTCTTGTTTCAGCTTCACTGGGAGGGAGTTGTGGAATCTGGCTGACAATCCCATTTAGTCTTCTTCAATTTAATTGGCCTTTTCCCCTTTCAGATTCCAAGTAGGGGAATAGCCTAAAGCCATTTTAGGGGGGCTACTAAAGCAGTTTACAAGGTGATGCCTTATATTTAAATACCACCGTATTTCCAAATCTGTTTCTATTATATATATCGTTTATTGTAGCATTCTCACAGTGACCCTGTGGTGTGAACACAGTGACTATTATCCCAGTTTTCAGATGAGAAAACCTAGTCTGAGAGTTGTGTGCCTTTCCTTACTTAGGGCACTGTGGCAAATAAAGGGAGAAGTCAAGCTACTGCTTCCATTCCAGTCTCTGAATTCCAGGTCCCCTGCTCCCTTTTCTTTCCAGGGCATGTATGATGTCTCAAGGTTGGCTAACCTCTAATTGAAAATCTGTAGGTGCTTATCTTCTGCACTTTTGAAATGATATGAACGTGAAATATTTTCAACATGCTAACATTTTTCCAGGCCGTTATTAGGGGATTAAATCATCCTGTTACCGTAACTGCAATTTTAGATGTTCTGGTGCTAAACTGAGATCTGTCAATAGAGTGCAACCTTTCGAAAGTCTTAAAAAATAGGGTACATCTTGGACTCAAGAATTATGATATCAAAATAAGACCCTTGGCTATTTCCGGAGTGTGTTAGCCAATCTACCCTGTGGTTTTCTTTCTCTGGAATTGGTGAAGAAAGAGATAAACAAGATCCAAAACCAGGTCGCATGAAAGGATCAACACTCCCCTGGACATACAGTTGTTTGGGATAATCGTAAATCCTGCTGTCTGTAGTGGCTGACGAGGGGAGAAGAGCAGAATCCTAGCACTCCGGCTACTGACTGTGAAACTAATGTATCTTTGCTATCACATATTTAGCATTTACCTTTTACTTTAAGCCAAAAACACCTTACACTTTTCTTAGATGAGCTTTTTAAAAACATTGTAATTTATGAAAAAAATTTGAACATAGACAAAAGTAGAGAATAGTAGTGGATCCCCCTGGACTTATTACCCAGCCTTGACAATCAATCAGCTCGTGCCAGTCTTGTTTCATCTTTACCCGTTTTCATTCTCTGCTCCTTGCTGTAATATTCTGAAGCAAATCTCAGGCATATTATTTCATCCTTCAATATTTCAGTATTTTTTTCAGATAAGTTCTTTCGGAAATATATTTTCATCTAATTTAAAACAAAAAGTTTTCAGGAAAAATACAGGCATTTTTGCTGCAAAAATTGGTCAGGATTATGCAATTTCTAACTAATCAGCATTTTTCAAGGTTACTGGTTTTGGCTGACAAAATTTTTTTTCTTATATGTGGAAAAAATTATTCACAGTAACAAATGCGTGTTTTGATAGTGCTAAAAATTAGTCTATTTTTCAGACTTAATTATTCAATTAAAAAATAAGACACTTCATAAACTTTAAAACTATTGTGTAGAAACACACTGTTCTTCAGTTTTATGTGTTTTCAGTCATTATATTTCCCAGCTATTTCAAATAGGCTAAATATAGTATACCCTAAGCTTACTCAATCGTTAGTTTAGACTCAACTAATTTGGAATTTTCATTGAGTTGGATATAACTTTAATAGCAGGTTTCCATTCAAGCAAAGTATTTGCTAATTGCAGGTGATTATTAAGGCAAAGTCTTAAGGATTTATAGAATAAGTAAATGGTTTTATGGGCTCATGGATCTTTAGGTATATATATATTTATACACCTTAATGGTATGAATTTAGCCTGACTTGGAAAAACTAACCTGGTTTATATGTGTATATAGTCCATTAATTGATTCACTAAAATTTTTATTTTGTTAAAAATAGTGAAATAAAATCAGAATTAATTTTTTTTTATTCTCTGTGAAGAGTCTTATGAAAGGTGGTCAGATTTATAAGTCAGATTGTGGCTAGTGAATCTTAGTTTTTCTCTCAAATACCTCAAGACAGCATGGAGGCTGGTTGTCACACACATTCAAAGGAACAAAATACTTATTAGCTAAAAAAGGGTATGCACATTTTTGGGGGCTTTGAAGCATATTGTAGGGCTTAGTAATAATGACAGTGAAAATTAACATAGCGAGCACTTCCGTATGAAGTCATTTTCTCATTACCATGGTCTTACGAGGATAGATGTTGTATTTATCCTTGTTTTACAGATAGAAACTGAGACATGGAGAGTGAAGTAACTGGCTCCAATCCCAGTGCTAAGTGGTCAAGCCAGGGTCAGAATTGTAACAGTTGAGTTCATGAGTACTGGCCCTTAACAACTCTGCTGGAGTGCCTCCTTTGGTTAAATACTAGTAGTTCATATGTCGGAAACTCATCCTTCATTTTCTTCAATGAAAATACGGCATTTTACAGCAGTGCTGTCCAATAGAATTGTTGAAATTATGGAAATACCCGCGTTATCTAGTATGCGTATGCCCATTAGTCACATGTGGCTGTTGATTACTCAAATGTGGCTAGTGTGACTGAGAAATAGAATTCAAGGTTTTATTTAATTTTAAGTAATTTAAATTTAAATAGTTACATGTAGCTAGTGGTTCTAGTACTGGACAGAGAGGCTATAGAGTTTGAGAGACCTGGGAGAATTTGTAGTTTGCGTTTCCTGGGGTAATGACAATATCTTGGCATTTTGTGGCTATCAGTATCTTGACCTCGTTAGGGTTGTCAGTGAATGGTTGTGTCATGAAATAGTAATAATGTTAATAAAGGTGAAATTTTTACAAAGTGGATAATTGAATGTTTAAAACTGTGATGCCTAACAACAAAATCCTGTTTGATCACCAACCTGGGAAATCCACAGTCTACCGCATCTGGAGGCATCCTCTTGTTAATTCCTTTGTAGCCAAGCAAAAACTGCTTTGACATTCCCGCATGATTTTCAGCCTTGTAGATGAGTTCTTGCTTTGTAAAGAGTCCAGCTTCTTGGTCAAGCTTAACATTAGGCGTGATGATAAGATAGTAAAATGGACTTTGTGGGCCAAAAGCAGCCATTAAGAAGCAAGTGTTTAACTCTTTATCTTTCTCCTACAGCCTGATGTTGACAGAGCTCCCATCTATGAAAATACATCAAGAAAACTCAGTGGTAATGAAGCTAGATTTCATTTCAAATGACACTGAGGCCACATAAACGGTGACACTGATGCCTCTTATGATGTGCTTTCATCTAAGCCTTTATGTGGCACTTAAGTCTAATTATTTTAATTTTTTCTTTGTGTTGATGAAAAGGGCCGGAGTAGTTGTTTCCACCAGCCATGGTGGGGCTCTGAAATGGAAGCAAGCAAAGCCTCCAGATGGTGGCAGGTATTGGACCATAGCCACCCTGCAGACATAATTAAACATGTCTGCAGCCCTCTCATTTAGCAGTTATAACACAGACATTTTCTTTGTTGATGGGATTGAACTGTTATTGTTAGCATTTATGTGAAGGACTTGCAGTACTATAGCCAGGTGCTATTTCTCAGCTACTGTGTTAAACACTGGGCCTGGAACTCTGCTTTGAAAGGTTTGGAGAGAAGGTTCCTCCCAACATTGGGAATGAACATGGTGGTTGGGGTGTTTTCAGCAGGTCCTGTTTGCCCACTTTCCATTTGTAATTCTCAAGTGTAACAGTTCGAATGTAGAGACTGGCTGTGAAAGTGGATTGGGATTTTAAGACAAAAAGTATTGGACAGCAGGTGAAACACACTTCGTTCCTGGCTGCAGTACCAGCTTCTGTCTGAAGTTAGGTAAATCATTTAGTTGCTGTGGACTTTGACTTTCTTCAGTTGGCAAAACAACCTTTGGGAGGGGAAACCAAATATCACTAGAAAGTGATTTGACTTCTCGAAAAGACAATTATGGTTTATTTGTGAAATAAAAGGTAGTTGTGATGAGTGAGTTCCCGTTTGCTGTATCTGCCTCCTTGCCAATAAACTTCCCATTTACACTTTTAATGATGATTCAAAGAGCAGATCAGCATTATGTAAAGGCATTTTTGATGAATTAGTCTTATGCATGTCCCTATATGGTATATTCTGTAGTTAACTGTTTTCATTGAACCTTTACAACTGACTCCACCTTACAATGGGTGCATGATTTTGTAGCGTAAGTTTACTACCTGACCTTGTTTCATGTCCTCTTCACTGAGGACAAAAAAAAAAAAAGTAACACTTTTCTCTTGTGCTTTTTCTCCCCTGATCCCTTCCCCCACCACATGACCCTTAAGAAATGTTGTCCTTTTGGAAGCCAGGTCATTTGTCTGAATTTAGGAGAATGTTGAGTTGCATCTTCAAGAAAGGGATGCAACACAGGATGAGGACTGTGGAGGAAGACTTTCTCTGAGTAAGACCTTGCAAAACATAGATTGAAATATAATTGTCTGCAAATGAATTGACAAGTGTTGGACCCCATTTTTCCAGGCACTTGATTGAAAGGCTGCTTCTAGCCTGAGGGAGGTCTTGATGATGCTACATTATTGCCTGTGGCCATTGTGAGTGCCACTGAGGTGGCCCTCTTGTGTGCAAGTAGTTGTGGTTCCACAATTCCGCTAGGCTAGTATTCAGACCTAATTCTCTGCTTACAGATGCTGTGAATTCCGTAACTCAGAAATGTGTGCTCACAAACATCAAATCAGCCTGTACACAGATACATAGAGCAGCCATGTATCAAGGACTTAGAATGACTGCTGATCCTTGAACTCTTTTTTAAAAAGGAAAAATTAGCACAAGGTTAAAACTTAAAGACATCAGATTAGTTCTGTTTAACAGCAACCTGTTACTTCGTGCTTTTGCATGTCAGCAGCTTGTCCTAGAGTCAGCGAGATTTCTTGCTTGTGACTTAAAGAATCTTGTCTTTTGGCTGTAGAGTATGATTTCATGGTGGAGGATGTTGCAGATATCTTAGTTTGCTATTTTATAGCATGGGTTATACTTTAAGGGCTGAAAAAAATAAGGTAATTTAAGCCTGTTTTGAGACACACGGAAAGGAAGCTATTTCATAACTATCAGTCATGTGAAATTTGGCAGGCCCCTAGCCCGTTAGTGGCCACAGTCACATGATTGATTACCGGTTGGGGACCCACAGTTAGCTTATTGCAGAACTGCATCTGGCATAATTGGTGTTGTCATCCAGTGTCAAACTATCCACCCTGTTCTGCCAACTTCCTTCCAATAACAAAACTTTCTTGCCTTGCACGAGTGAAAGCCTGTGTGATTGTATGTGTTTAGAATTACAGAGTTTTAAACATGATCCAATCACAACTATTTGAACTTCTTGATTTTAGTACATTTGTACCTATGTTGCCAAAAACATTTTTTTCCTTGTCTTTGTGTCTTCTAAAACATTGAAGGAAGAGGTCTTTGATGCTTCCTTAATACTTTTATCATGTTTGAAGTCCTGAGCTCTATAAATAATATAGTCCTTATTATCTTTTTATCTTGATAATTTATAAAACTGACTGTCCAAAGATATGTACGATACTTGTAGTTTTATATCAAAGAATTTTAAATGCCAAGAACCAGGGAAGCCATCTAATTCTCCATTCGAGCTAGTGCCGAGACCTACTGGACAACATCTTGACACTTGGTCATTGGCCTGTGCTGGAGGCATGATATTCTAGTCCTGGTTCTGCCTCTGCCCGCCAGTTTGGTTTTAGATCTCTTCATTTTTGTGATTAATGATATGAAAAAGTTGGACCAAGTGGTCACTTAGGTTTCCTTCAGTTTTTGATTTCTGTATGAAGATATAGAAATATCCCCTACACGTCAACAACAACAAAAATGGGAATTAACCGATTCCTTCTAAAAGCTGAAGGCTCCTTGGCAGTGGATATTGACCCTTCAACTTTTAGAAGGAATCAGTTAATTTTTTGTTGTTGAAACATGTCTCATTTTTATATTGAGCCTAAATTGGCATGGTCAGAGATAGGCTTCTATAGCACTATTTTTCCACATATTTTTGAGTGGGGCACACATTGAGAAACATATTTTACATTGTAGCCCAGTAAACACACACACACACACACACACACACACACACACACACACACAAACATTTATATACATATAACTGAATCAAAAGTTTCACAAATCAATACTTGCCTTTTTCCTTTGTGATGCAATTCTATTCGATTTTATTTAAAAGAATGCCAGTCAGTGACCCACTAAATTGATTATGTGACCCAAGAATGGGTCCTGACCTGGAGTTCAAAAAACACTACTCCATAGCAACCCAGAACACATTCGTTTCTTCTTTCACATGATAACCCTGTAAACTCAACTATGGTTAGCTTGTTTGCCTTTAGTCCTCTTTTACAGGCTTAAGGTCCCAGTTTCCAAAGCTTTTTCTTTCGTGATTTGATATTTTGACTCATCACCATACTGGTCGGTTGTTCCTGGATACTTACGGTTTGTATCCCTCTTAAGGTACCAGAAGAAATCTAATCTCAAAATAAAATTTAACTAGGGCCAGGGTCTTTCTTTTATATTGTTTCCTACTAATGTCATTATATTACACATTTATTCTACAAATGTTTGTTCTATACATGTGTACTGAGCACTACTATGTGTTAGGGCTATCCTTGGTGCTTGAGGACACTGCAGTGAGCAAAACAAAAATGTCTGCATTCAGAGAGTGTACATTGTAGAGAATTGCACTAGCCACTAGGAGTATGGCAATGTCAAATGAAATACCCAAGCGCTCAGTCATAGATATTCCTCTGTACTGCTCAGTTGCACGTGATCTTTTAGGGCACCATGTTATTGTAGACTGTCAGGCATTTACTCTCTTCATTGTGAGTTCCTCCTGCCTTTCCACTTGAGTGCACATCTTGGCAAAGATGAAATGTCAATTTCTGGGAAAGGCACCTATGTGTTGTTTCCCTTATTATTTTTAATTAATTTATTTTTTTTAAACAGAGTGGAAATTAGAGACTTAAAAATGATCAAAATACAGAAATATGAAATTATTTTTCCTGAGGTTCAGACTGGTTAAAGGAAGATTGAAAGTTTCCATTGTATTTGATAAAGGCATGTGAATTCTAATCAGGTCACAGGGCATCAAGAGGGGTCTTTAACTCTTTGGGAACATAAAGTACACTTTTTAAATAAAATTATAACTTTTCCTGGGGTGACTTTGTCATGGGTAAATTTGGGCCAAGGTTAATGGTTTTAGAGGTTGAATTACTTATGTTTGTTTTATGTAAAGTAATATATTAGGGCAAGAGATTTGAATGAACAAAATAAACAAAAGATATGGTCTCTATCTTCAAAGCTTGCATTTTAGTTAGAAAACAAAATCTGCATAATGAAATTATATAAACGAGTGATCAAATCACATAATAAGTACAACTTGAAAATGATGATAGGTAAATAGAATTCATCAAGAAAGAATAACTGGAGACCCAGCATTTGAAACAGATGGGAATAAATTGGTTAAAAAAAATAAAAAAAAGTGTTTATAATAAGTTGAATGTAATTTAAGGAATCTGAAGCATTAAAAATCTGTGCTTAGGTGAAACTGCAGTTTATTTACCTTTTAGAAACTAGTCTGATTTTTTTTCCTTCTGTTGTTTGAAAATTTACAAATTAGGAATTTGTCATAGGAGATGTAAATATATTTCTAACATGAGAAACTAATGTCTAGATAATGAAAGGGCATGGGAAGGAAGCCTTAAACATGACATTATTCAGTCAGAATAGGATTGCATTGATCCAGCGGTGTGAAAATCATTATGGAGTGGTGTTTTCACACAGGCCTCTTCCTTTACTTTATTCTGAACTACATAAATATCAATTAAAGCTTTCTAGTCCAAGTTAGCAGATGGCGATTTATGTCGGACTTATAAACAAAGCCCCAGAACATTACTATACCTAATTGATGAATGCTCTCTCCCTTTCCTGAACAAAGATTTTGGCCTCCAGTGTGGTTGTCTGAGAGAAAATTAATGAATTCTTTTCTGTGGTCTCATGTAGAAAGGCTCCCGTTTATAGAAATATTTGACTTTTTCCCCCCCAAAAAAGAAAACTTGAATGCTTTTAAGTTGCCTAGTAATTTAAATTCCCAAAGATGGACTGGAATAGTATTTGGCATTAACATTTACCTAAAAAATTATATTTTCGGCTTACAGCAGAATGATGCCTCAAAACACAAAATAGTAATCAAAATAAAGCACACAGAAAAGTGGAATGTGTTTAATTATTATAACTTTAGGTAGACATCCAAATTAGGGCTCATATTTTATTGTTGTTTTTAATTATTTCTATTTATTATTATTATTTTTTGAGATGGAGTCTCCCTCTGTCATCCAGGCTAGAGTGTAGGGGCCAATCTCTGCTCACTGCAACCTCCATCTCCTGGGATCAAGCGATTCTCCCGCCTCAGCCTCCCAAATAGCTGGGATTACAGGCCGCCGCCACCATGGCCTGCTAATTTTTGTACTTTTAGTAGAGATGGGTTTTGCCATGTTGGCCAGGCTGGTTTTGAACTCCTGACCTCAGGTGATCCGCTTGCCTTGGCCTCCCAAATTGCTGGGATTACAGGCATGAACCACTGCACCCAGCCAGAGCTCATATTTTAGACTCTTTTTCTGTGAACTCTTTTCTTTCGACTTGTTGTTCTTTAAGGTGAGATGACACTTTGTACTAATTCTTAAAATGAACCCTTCCCTCAATTTGAAATATGTGAAAATAGCTGTTTTGTACTATGGACCTGTAAGTGGCGTCTTGTGGTTTAGGGGCTGTTGCAATGTCCACCTCCAGTGGAATGTAGGTCGCTGCATCAGAAGAAGGTAGAGGAGCCAGGCCTGTGACTGCAGAATGTATTCCTTACCTTTTGTTTGAAAATAGTAAATTTCATTTGTGAAACAAAACCTGCCTTTTCTTTTTCATCCTAGCTTCTTTGAAATGAGCAGTAGGCTGATCGGGGGTAGATATTCAAATATACTGAAACATTAAGGTTGCTGTAGATGAGAAAACAGTGGTACTTTGGTTGAGGGCAATCTGCACTAAACACTTTGACTTTAATGATAGCTTTCTGCCCGCTGCCACCCAGGTGTCTTTCTTGTGCTCATTGGTTTGAGGGTGCATTCCTCAAATGAGAGGGGCAATTCAGGTAAAAGTTTTCAATGTTCCTGCCCAAGGCAGCCTGCTAAAGGAAGTTCTCTTGGTGATGACCATCACATGATTGCCACGGGAATGTGTTTACTACACGATCTGTTGATACAGGTAATAAAGAACACACTGATGACTTTTCCCCACGTAATCTCTGAGGTCGGTATTTTAGTAACCTTTGAGATAATAATTTAACTCACGCCCTATAGAAATTATGTATGCAGTAGGCCCTTGGTAGAGACTGACATTTATATAAGGTCAGTGTTGGTTGACCTAGTTTGATCTGGCCCTAGATTTATAAATGAATGAATGATCTCCCCAGAATTAGGAAGACATGACATCAAAAATATGAATTCATCATTACTGTAAAAGTTTAACATGCTGTTAAACTGTAGCATGTTAGTGAGACGAGGCCTCAGTATCTTCTGCTGGTTGGGGAAAAAAAATAAATGTGTATTAAGTCTCAGGAGCCTGCGTGGTCCTCATGCTTGTTAAATCCAGAATGGGTCTCTCCCTTTCTCCAAAGATGGAGTTTGGCCTTGGTGGGATTCTGTGTTGGGAGCTGCAGTCCCAGATGCTTCTGCTAGTTTAATAGAAGAGATCAGGAAGAACAAACTGGCAAGTGAATTGGACAGATACAGACCCAAAAGACTTCAGATAATTGGAAAGAAATTTTGCAACCAGGGCATTTCTGCCATCAAAACAGAGGTATCTTGCAATGATTCTTGTGCTGGCTGTTGTTGAGGTCTTACTTTAGCACTGGGGATGGGAGATAATTCCCGTATAGCCATAATATGGGAAATCACCAGTATCCTTTAAGATGACAAAATTCAAATTCTAATAAAGACAGGATTTGGGACATTTTTTAAAGAGAGGTGCTGGGTGTGGAGAGGGAGGAAGTCTGGTTTCTGATAAGGGCTTCTCCTCATTTTACAAGTCTGCTTGTCATGAGAGAAGTATTATTCCTGGAAATGAAAAACATGGAGGCAGAAAATCCGTTTCTTCAAAAACAGATAGTGGATTTTTGCACTGCCAACCTAGCTGTTGATCTGTCAGTCTTGGTAACTGAAACCCTATGAGGCTGCGTAACATCTCAGATGTTCAGCTTCAAATCTGAGATCACAAACAGGGTCCTAAAACAAAAAGTTTGTTAAATGCCCAGTCAAGAAAATGGGGCTACGGAAAAACTCAAAACAGAAAAATAAGGTTTGTCTTACAAAATGTTCATACTGCATTCTTAGACCTAGTTGCTAATGACAATCAGTTACCTGAATTATAAAAAAAAAGGGGTACTACCCAGTTTCATTAATTGCCTTGTATCCAGGGCTTTGAAAGGAGATTGGATATTTCATGAATTGATTTTTGAAACTGAGTGTGGTCCTGCTATTAACCATGTCTTGGGAGTTCCCACCCTTGAAGGCATCTTCTGAAGCTTAGAATTTTTTCTTTCTTTTTTTTTAAGAGACAGAGTCTTGCTTTGTCACTCAGGCTGGGGTGCAGTGGCATGATACTAGCTCACTGCAACCTTGAACTCCTGGGCTCAAGTGATCCTTCTGCCTCAGCCTCCCAAGTAGCTACGGCTGTAAGTATGTATTACCATGCCTGGCTAATTTAAATTTTTTTTTTTTTCTAGAGATGAAGGGTCTTGCTATATTTCCCAGGCTGGTCTTGAACTCCTGGTCTCAGGCAGTCTTCCTGCCTCAGCCTCCCAAAGTGTTGGGATTACAGGTGTGAGGCACTGTACTAGGCCTGAATCGTTGAATTTTTGACTCTAGTCTTGAAGGGATGGAACCTGCCCTTCTAGTGTTGTTTCACTTTGGGATAAAGCCCAAAGGCTCAGAGCTCACCTGTAATCTGGTGGTGGTAGACTGATGTGTGTCCATCATGGGTTCAAAGTTGATATTTACTTAGTAAAAACCTGCCAGGCCTCAGATGGGAGTTAGATGGTGAATCTCCTCTCTGTGTCTGTTAAGGGCACCTCATGTGTTTCATGTAAAATCCTTGTAGAGTAGATTCTCTGAATCCAACTGTTAGATTGTTTCAAGTGTTGGACTCATTTTCCTTATAGTAACTTACTTAGGAATTCATGTAAGTTAAGGACTTCAGCTGCTTACGTTGTTTCCCATTGTTTGGAAATAGTTAATGCACTCTTAAAAATTGATTAACTGACCATCAGTGTGTCATGCTAGTCTAAGATTTTACTTTAACAATTGATATATAGAGATTGAAAGTTGTGATGTAGTAACTCTATTTTCCCTAAGATTCATCTATTCGGTTGACTTTTTTATCCCAGTACTCTCTTCAGGATTGATCATAGGTATTGATTGGCACTAGTGGTTTACAGATGTAAGAACTGAGAGTTAGATTACCTTTTGGATTCTCCCACTTAGCAACTACAGAAATTTGCTTCTGTCTTACTTTACTTCTGTAATCATCACTGTTTTCTCCATTAATCAGAAATGTAACCTTGGTGTCGGTGGCATTTCTTTTGTCTCAGTAGCTCTCTGATTTTTGTTCTCTTTTTTTTCTTTACAGAGCACAAAACTTATTGACATGAGCCTGGAATTTTGAAGTAAGGGCAGTCATGCTAATATTGTGATTTTCCATATTTGTGCTTTGTATGTAAAGTGACTGTTTTTAACATTTTAATTTTAATTATTATGGGTACATAATAGTTGTATATAAAGTGACTCTATTTTGAGTTTTACATTTTACAGGATAAAACCTTAAGATTAATTCCATACATACATTTCAAAATAAGGCATCGACTTGATAGAAAAGTTTTCTTTTTCCTTAGATCGATAATATGCTGAATACACTTTTGGATGCAGAAAATAAAATTCTGAGCAGTATTATAAATTAGAAGATTGAATGGCTCTGTTGGTAAGGTTAGTAACAGGTGACAGATTTGGTATTCATACCTGTTTGTCACTCGTCATACCTTTTGGCAGTTATTCTTCAGAGCAGTTAGATTAGTGCATTAAGCATTTGGTTTTAAGAAATGTGCTTCAAAGTGAAAGGTAGTTAATGCTTACCTAATTGACTAAAAAGAGCTTTTATTTCTTTTAAGGAAAATAATTTCCTCTTGTTTTATATTATCTGGGCACAATGGCTGAGTGAAATTAATTGTTAACTTGAAGCACATTTATTTTCTATGGATGTGAATATTCCCAGAGTACATTTGACACTTTGATAATACTTAATTATGGATTAGGTTCACAATTCTGTGTGATATGTTGAGATGCAAGTCAGGGGAGCCTATTACATTTATAAAAGTTCAGTAAAAAGAAACTCATCATTAAGGTGGCAGGAAATAAGGATATAGTTTTGGCATTTGAATTCTTTTGTGTATATGAATTATTTTCCTCATCAGTCTCATTCATTAATGTGGAGGTCTGACCAATATATGTTTTCATAAACATTTTTTCCTGTCCCCAAATAATGTGAATAAACTTAGCTTTATTCCTGCCTGACCCAGTCATTTACTTTCTATGGACAAATAGTATTCCTTGTTATTTGCAAGGCTGATGTAACGACACAGCTGCTGGATGCTTGGCATTTCTGCTTCTGGTGAAATGCTCTTTGTGCAGATTTATCTGATCCAGATGTGTGACCAGCAAGCTACATTTCTAATTATAAGGACAGCCAAATTCCATTATAAGCACATCATGGGATTATAGGGCCGGGAGTCATCCTGAGAGGACATCTAGTTCATTCTCCAGCCGTTCAGCAGGACCACACTTTGTAACCTACTCCAGCACTGAACGAAGCAGCAAAGAATGTTCCACCCATGTATAGGCTGAACGTGGAATCACTGGAATTGTAACTGGAAAAAGAGACAAGTCCCTCTGGTCTGGCCCTCTTGCTTTGTGGGTAAACAGATTCAGGCCCAGAGAAGTTTGACTTAATGTGGATTTTTATGACTCTTTGCCTAAAACTTACTCTTCTTTTCTCTGAAGTGGTCTGTGCTGAGGGAGTGAAAGGGTAGAAGACTGGATTGGAAATGCCAGTTTCACATCCAGATGTAGCTCTCTACTCATTTAGAAGTAAGAGGTACTGAATTAGTGACAGCTAGATTCCATTGAAGTTTATTAAGTATTTCTGAAACCCAGTATGAAGTACGATATTTCATGTCTGTATATATGTTTGTGTGCCTTAGTGATAAAGTACAAAGGAAACTAGGCATGCTGTTAGGGTTAGAATGTTTGCAAGTGTGGTGTGTAAGCTTACCAAGAACAACATCTCAGAATAAATAAGTGATTATTTAACTTGATTTGATGTTGTTGAGTCTGGGTTTTGATTGTACCCTACTTCAAGTGATAGTTAGCCTGCCACAGTTTCATGGATGCTGGGAGAAGACAAGGGGTTCCTGTACCACAGAAAAAGGACTGTATTACTCCTGACATACCAAATAGTGTAAACTCTTATGCTTAGGGCTTACTGGCATGCCTATGTTGGTTCGTCCTTGCCTCCATGTCCCACAGGGGTGATAAGGATGGAGCGTGCAGATGGAGCTGCACACACTTTGGGTTTGCGTTGCTGCTGAGGAACACTGAACTCGGAGAATCTGCTGCTTTTATAGCATGCAGTAAATGAACTTGCTCTTTGTTCCAAGGGGGAAGATACTACCTCATCTGTCTGTTCACATTGCTCACTGCAAACATAACTTTGAGAAATGGCCTTGATACAAAATGGCAGGATATGTAGAAGCATGAGAGACCTATGGAGGGGTGTCTCAAAACCATCATGTCCTATAATTGGGACAATCAAATAAAACACTTCACTAGCAACTTCACAGAGAATACAAGACATCAGGTAGTTGTTAGGAAGCAAATTCATAATGAAAATGGTAAGTGCTGGATAATTAGAGTGAAGATGGGTAGAAAATATAAAGAACTTGATTTCTTCTGTATATTGACGTCTTCTTACGATTTCAAGATGTGGTCAGATTATAATAAAAAAATACTAAAAGAAATCAGGAATTATAAATCTTGTTTCTACACTGTTAAATCTATTAATCTTTTTGTGAAATGAAAGTATAGTAGCCAGGTGGACCCAGGCATAGGTTTAGCTCTGTTTCTTAACTGCATTGTGACCTTAGTTTATTTTTCTTTTTAATTGTGAAAGTTATTTATATTCTTAGTAAAGGAAATTTTTTTTTTCAGACAATAGAGAGGTATAAAAAAGTAAAAGCCTCTCCTAGAGTTCATGGAGGTTGCCACAGTTCTGTGGCCTTTGGATCAGTCAACATCAGAATGGAAGGGAAACGTTAATGATTTTAGTGGCTACTTGTTACTTCTGAAGGATCAAAGGGCTTGGGACGTTTACAAAGTATTCTGGGCTGGGTGCCGTGGCTCACGTCTTTAATCCCAGTAGCTTGGGAGGCCAAGGTGGGAGGATTGCTTGAGGCCAGGAGTTTGAGACCAGGCTGGACAATGTTGCAAAACCCTGTCTCTACAAAAAAATAAAAAAAATTAGCTGGGCGTGGTGGTGCACGCTTGTAGGCCCAGCTATTCGGGAGGCAGAGGTCGGGGGATCACCTGAACCTGGGAGGTCAAGGCTGTGGTGAGCTGAGATGGTGCCACTGCACTCCAACCTGGTGACAGAGTGAGACCTTGTCTCAAAAAAAAAATATGTATATGTATACACACACACACATACACACACACACACGTATATTCTGAATCTCTGGAAAGATTTATGAGGCAGTATTATGCTTCTACCACTAAAATAGTGTTATTATTTTCACTTTTGTTCACTCAAATATTTAGCTAATGGTTGTCTTCAACGTAAGTTGGGGCTACATAGATCAGGCAACAGTATCTTTATTTTATGGATAACGAAACTGAGACATTCAAGGTTAATTTGTCCAGTTACATGGTTTGGCCGTATTCGGCTTCTTATCTCCTTAGAAAAGATTTTGGCCCCAAATAAAACTTTCATAAAGTAGGAGACTATGTAGTTAGTGCACCTGATTTCAATTACTCTGTTCTGTTTTTTAAAATAGTATGTATCATTTTCTTGCATACTACATAATTTACTTATTATGTTCATTGTTTCTTTCCCCTTACGAGAATGTAAACTTAATGAGAACAAGAATTTTTGCCTTTCTTTTTTTGTCTTGGGCACTGGTGAAGTTTCAATTTCTGGAACAGCATATTAATGCATAGTGGGTTCTCCAGCTCCATAGTAAATTTGGTGATGAAATGAATCAACATGTGGTAAATACGTGGTGCTACAAGGTGATGAGATCATCTCCTTGATCTTAGATTATGTTTTCAGCTTTGAGCAAGTGGTGGGACATCTTGGGATGATACTGCTTACCTCATTTGATTTGATCAATGAGATTGAATTTGTAAAGCTGGGCTTCAGGATATGGCCTACAGATTTTTTTGCGTTTGGTTTTGTAGAGTGTTTTAAAAACTTTGCAAGCAACATTTAAGAACTAAGGGATTTCACGTAAAATAAGATTTCTAGCTTTTTTGGTTTGTTTGTTTTGTTTTTTTCTTTAGAAACTGAAAGATCTGACAACATGGCCTGCATTCCTATATGGTTAGTGAAGGTCTTGAACTAAATAGCAGCTCACTGTTAAGAAAGGGCATTTGCTCTCTAGTTTACCACAGTCCCCCTGACTCTCTGTTAACTCTTGATACCGAAGCTGAGTTGTCAGTTGCTTTTTCCCATCTTTTACATTCTTTAATTTTTAAATATGAAGAAATATTCAGCCATGTTTTTTGAAAGGAAATAAAGGAAAGGTCAACCACTTCACTCATCGACATTGCCTCCATGGCCCTTGTTAGGCAATTGAAACTTGGAGCCCCTTGATGTGTTTATCTAAGACCTCTGCTTCTTTGAGGTCTAGACTTTTTATGATTATGGTTATGATTGCTGATGGTATGCAGAAGAGAAGAGATAGCAATTCAAAGGAATTAACCTCAGTGCTTTGACTGTGGAAGTGGTAGCATGGAATGTGAGTCTGGGGAAAAGTGCTTCCTTTGTTGAACTATTAATGCATAATGGATTCGGATGTTAAAAGTGCATGGCCACATTGCTTGTTTCTCAGATACAGTATTAGAAGGGCTCTATAGGTGTATACATAGTCTCTATTCTAGAGAGCTTTTATTTTTCTGTTTGTAAAGGTGGCAAAAATTGCAAAAGATTTAAAAAATATTACTTGTAAAAAGTGATATTTCATCCAGGAGAAATGAATGCTTGAGATTTGTTGTCTAAGACCTAAACAATTAAGCTCTGGGCCAGGCATGGTGGTTCACACCTGTATTCCCAGCACTTTAGGAGACTGAGGTAGGAGGATCACTTGAGGCCAGAAGTTTGAGACTGGCCTGGGCAACATAAAGAGATGACGTGTCTACAATAAATTAAAAATTAGCTGGGTATGGTGGCACACACCTGTAGTCCCAGCTACTTGGGAGGCTAAGGTAGGAGGTTTGCTTGAGCTCAGGAGGTAGAGGCTGTAGTGAGCCATGATCCTGCCACTGCACTTCAGCCTGGATGACAGAGCAAGACCTGATCTTTAAAAAAAAAAAAGCTCTGCTTCCCTTTTAATATAAAGAACAAATGGCATATGCTTCCAAGGGTACATTGGAAAATTGGCAATTTCAAGCCATGTTTAATGTGGAAATGTGACTTGTGTTTTGTTATTATATGGATAAATTAGATTGTACAATTAGTCCTTTAGACTCATGAATTGCCTATTTGATTATGTGACTCTTTATGTAAAAATTGGCCTAAGTTCTTATTTAAAGGAACTATGTAAGTGAAATGCTAATAACATTTCTTATTTTCATATAATCTTTATAAAATTGGGATTTCACATAATCTCATTAGGAGAATTGAAAAGAATTAAGTTGTTAGATCAGAGTTATCCAAAAGGCATTCTCTAGTGAACATTAGATCTTAAAAAGTTTGTGTGTTCAAAAACGTTCGGCCTTGGGGAGATTCTCAGTGTATATTAAAAGTTCTTTGAAGTGTAGTGTTAAAGAACTTCTAGCTCTTCAACTCAGAGTTTCTCAAGCTTGATGGAAGTTTTCTACAGAAGATGTATTAGCATGTAGCAGAGTATTTTTCCTGTGTCACATACCTTAGAAATTTTCACCTGGATAGATTTATTAAAGAACAGACACCACAGGTGGTGAGTTCCTGGCTTCACATGGTTTCTTGCTTTTCCTCACTTTTACCAGAGTTTATAGTTCCATTTCTTCCAAGCCACTCCCGGAGATGGAAGGAAGTGGCATGCTCAAAACAGTGTAGAATCCAAACGGAATGAGAAGGATAATTTTGAGTCATCTTTCTTTTGTTTAGAAAATAAATATACCTTTTTTGAAAAGAATTGATTTCCTATTTTTAGGTAATGTACTTCTAGTTAAGGCGCATAACTTACCTTGCCTATATTATAAACTATCAGCTTGACCGAAGCCATCTTTTTCTTCTGCTGTTGGTCTTTTAGAGACTTGCTGTTATTCACATAGATAATACTTGTTTTCTCTGTGAGCCGTACTACTTGCCAGGTTTGGGACTTCTCACATAGAGGCTGATGTAATAGGGAAAGACAGTGGGATAATTAACATTTTGGAATTTGATAAGTAAGAATGAGTGCATATGTGTGTGGGCGTTAAAAGAGCTTATAACTTGGTTAGATTTCCTTTGTAAACTTAGGTGGAAAATATGCTTAGAAATTTGAAGTGATTTGAGAAGCAAGAGACCTTATCCTGCCATTAATCAGTGGTGTGACCTCTGAAAAATAAGGGATGGAATAGATAATCTCAGAGGTGCTGCTGATTAAAAAAAATTTTTTTTTCAAATTTCATTGCAAATTTTAAATCCTGATGTTGCATTTTTAAAACTTGTATAGGTTGTAACATGCTGGAAATGAAATCAAACCCTCACTGGGGAAAAATTAATGCTGATGTACAAATATGATTTGGAATCTTTGGTATTTGCCAGGGGCTATAAGAATTCAATGCTTCTCCATTTGTGATCTTTCTGTAGCACGTGAAGGCTGATTGAGAATTTGAGAGCCCTAGCTCTAGATCTCCAAATAATTGGAGATCTCTAAATAGTTAGAAATATGCAAGAGAAGATAGTCCACATTAGCAAGAGATGAGAATGTAGTATATACCACTTTGGTTCATGTATCTTGAAGCTTTTATCATTCGTCACCTCAGCCATTCGTTTTTTTCAGAGTAAGTCATATGCTTAGAACCAGGAAATTGCCTGCCACATCTTGTTCCTGGAAAAGCTGACAGCCTAAAAATGCTTATCATTCAAGGTGTGACCTAAATGAGTGTTGTACAGCTATTGTAATTTTTCTATAAAGTTATGTGGCTAAACAAGGTACTTTCTAGGGAAAATTTCTTCCAAGTAGGCCTTTATTTACAACTTGAATCCTAAATTAGCAAAACCGCTGTACTGGTACCACAGAAGTTCATATTAGAAGGGAATTTGCAGGTAGTCTAGTCCAACCTTTTTATGTTGCAAATAAATGTAGACTGAGAAACCTAACTCCTGCAGCTAGCATACATAACAGAACTGAAACCCAAATCTCCAGATGGCCACCACGGTCATCTTTCCTCAGTATCATGTGGGTTTCAGTCAGTGTCTCTCGTGCTAGAATGAATCCCATGTAAAGTATGTTTTAAATTAAATGTAATGCCCATACATCAAATCACACAAGTCTGTACCTTCGTAATTATATTTTGAAATGCAATTGATTTGCTGAATATAAATGTTTGAAATGTTTTGTACATAGCTATTACATTTCTTTAAACTGTATTTTATAAGATGTATATTTCAATGACAATACTTATCCTACAAAAGAGAATGGTTTCATAAATTGATTTAAAAGTAGGTGCCAGTGTTACACTTATAAATAAAAAGATAAATTTTACATAGTGAAATCTAAAAAAGAAATGCAATTGATCATTTAAAAACCACATTTTAAATAAATTCTACAAAAGGTAGCCATTATGATTTTATGATTACTTGTGTTGACAGTATTCTCCTGTGGAATGTGTGATGCTTAAAATGATTAGCTTGTACAAAAGCTATAACAATAGTAATATTTTTACTCATTTATTCAACTGTAAGATTTTAAAATTTACAGACAATAGCCAAATAATATTCAGGGTTCTGTTTTAAGTGATAAATTAGCTTTCTACGGGACAAAAAAGGCATTGACAAGAGCACTGACTTGTCATGGTATTGAATTTCACAGAATTAGTTTTGGATAAATGGGATTTTCAATGTCCTGTGAGCTCTCAAAATTCATAGTGAGCAACTAATACCCATAGGACAAAGTAAAATTTAGTTCACAAATTATTAATTATTTAATTTGCAAAGTAAAAGTAAAAATTAGTTCAGCACAAATTATTATTACTTTACTAATTCTTGTTTCCAAATTAAATATTTGAATCAAGAGTGTAGGAAAACATCTTTTAAAATGTGTGTTATAGGGGTACAGTATAAAACTAGGGGCAGGATATTTTACCATAGGATTTTCTTAAACCCTAGAAAAAAACAGTAAGAATTCATTAGGGATGAGGAAATTTCCTTAGTGAATGTTGGAAACAGGATGCAATGTGGCACAGCTGTCCGCAGAGGTTTGGAGGATTTCCCTGGGAAGATCAGTACTGAGTCATCAGTTGATCGAAGGTAGGGGACGGCACAACACATACCATGCACAAATCGAATGTAGGGTGTATTAAGCCCTCAGCAGTATGAAGATTTTAAATTATTGGGTGGGTACAAAAGTAATTATGATTTTTGCCATTAATATAATTTCAGTCATAGCACTATCTTAATATCTCTGACAGAAGACTCTTGGAACATTAAAAAAATCAAGATTCTAATAAGGCTGTCTTGTGAAGATCAAGGCATGGAGGTTTGAAAATCTCAGTGTCGATTCATTATCTAAAAATCTCTTGAATAGCTCAATTACAAAGTCAGCCATAAGTGGAAAACTATGTATCTAGGGTCTGCACCGTGCCGGCTGCATAAGATACCGAGTAAATGTTTGAACAACTGAGGGAATGAATTCCCAGGTCGGCCATCTCAACTTTTTACAACGTTAATGACAAATATGATTTCGACATATATAATTCATTTGTATCAGTGTTTTGGGTGTGATATCTGTCAGTTGTGATGGCTGTTATATGAGTTGAACAGTTGTGTTTAATCCTGATATGTAAATTGTTAGATACTGCTTTAAAATTTTTAAAATTAGTCTATTCCGAATTTCCAGATATTAATATTATCTCTGAAATGTTGAGTGAATTAGAAGTGGAAGCCAGAGACTTTGTCTTTTTCTCTACAACTCGTCCAACTTCAAACGTGCCTCCTTTTTTCTGCTACTGTTGTTACTGAGAAAACTTGAGCAGGCAGGTCCTTGGTGCTTTTTTCTAACCAGTGGATGGCAAATATGTGATGCACATCTCCTAGCTCCTTAATCCCATGACCTTGACAGCCATCTCTAATTATCACTGAGCGGGGGCAGTGAATCTTTCTCAACTCTGCACTCTAGGCAGGTACCAAAGTCAATTGGAGTGGGCATGTGAGAGGAAACCTAGGGCTGTGACCAAAAATAAACAAACAAACAAACAAACAAACAAACAGGGAGCTGGAGAAGGACTTGTGCTTAGGAACACAGAAATAGTTCTTGGTGAGAACAGAATAATCCAAGTTTCCTGCTTCTCCAGAGCAGTATTCTTAATCACTTTCCTTGCTCATGGAGTGGGATAGGGTTGTGAAAATGAACTGAAATGGCACCCTTTCAGTTTTTTCCTGTTACTTAGGATCCAGCTCACAAAACTAAATTATTCTTTACCTTGTGTGATCCGGGTACTGAAGATAATACAGATTGAGTATCTGCAATTTGAAAATCCAAAATGCTCCAAAATCTGAAACTTTTTGAGTGCCAACAGGATGCCACAGTGGAAAATTCCACACCCAACCTTGTGTGACTGGTTGCAGCCAAAACTTTGTTTCATGTATAATATTATTTAAAATATTGTATAAAATTATCTTCAGGTTATGTGTATAAGGGTGTATGTGAAACAGAAATTTCATGTTTAGACTTGGGTCCCATCCCCAAGATACCTGTATATGATACTTTGTATTATGTATATGCAGATATTCCAAAATCTGAAAATTCAGATCTGAAATCTGAAACACCTAGGGTCCCAAGCATTTCAGGTGAGGAATACTGAACCTATATAACTACTTTTCATCCCAGTAATTTCTTCATTGCCTATGAAGAGTTTAGGAAATAAGTAAAACAAGGACGGGCTTGGGGAAGTGGAGGGAAGGAGTAGAATATAATAAAACTCTTCTGAAGTATTTGGGAAAATATTTTTTAAGTAACTGTTATAGATACAAGTATGTCTTATCTGTTAAGTACAGAGGATTTCCACCTGTCAGTGCTGTTGAAAGTTTTAGCTGCCTTTAAATTTCTTGTTGCAAATGCTTCTTTTCATACATTTAGATGGGCCTTTTTTCTTCAATTAAGTTGAATTACCAAGGTTTTGCTCTATCTATGTAATTTTAAAATGTGAATAGAGGCAGTACATATGGAAGAAAAGGTAGATATTTTCCCTTAATTTGCAGATGTATGAAAAAATATGATTAGAAATTACAGAAGTCAGAATTTTAAAAATAGATTTAGAGATGAGCATTGTAGTATCAAGCACTTTGTAGTTTCCTAGTGTTCTGAAAAGTGTGTGTGCGTTTGTGTATGTGTGTATGCATGCATGCATGTTTGTGTATATTTGCTTTGGAGCATCTTAATTTTAGCTTTAGGAAGTAACTTTGTCACTGCAGTTGCTAAACATATAAGAATACGTATTCATATCTGTTAAATATGGTGCAAAAATTATCTTCAAAAGTTGGCTTTTATTTGTAGGAAATACCTCTTAACACACATTTTCATGTGGAATTTGTATTTAGTCATCTTGACAAGAGTAGTCACTAAAGAGAAATGGTCAAAATTGTGTAGCTTCTAGTAATATTACTCACAGTGCCCTGACTTTACTGGGGTGTGTGTGTGTGTGTGTGTGTGTGTGTGTGTGTGTTAGGGAGGTGAGGGGGTAGGGGAGTGCTGTAACAGATGGCTTTAGATTGCCTCAAATAGGGTTGTAAATTTGACTATAAGATGAGTCAGTTTTCTGTGTTCATTTCATGACCATGCATGGCACCTCTAACCTTAAGTTTCTCTCAAATGCTGTCATAAAGCCATCATTACTGATAGAAAAAACAATGCACATTTCAAGTGTTTATGATAGTGGTTGATAATATCATCTTGGAGTAGAAGAACAGCAAACCTCCTATGTCAAACAGAGCAGCACAGAATGACAGGTCTCTCCATGCAAAAGCTCTGTATGGACTCCTCAGCAAACCTGGAGATCCAGGAAGAGATTCAAGCTAAACGATTGACTTTTTGGCTATCAGTTAAGGAGTTCATCAAATGCCTGAGCCCCTGTCATATGCTGGACTCTACCTTGTGTTAGGTATACATTTTCTGAGCCTTAACAAAAAGATTCTTCCTTAATTTATTTAGCTTCCCCACACATTATTAAGTGGGGGAGAAAATTGCTCAATACACATTATTATGTGGATGTAAAACGTGGACTGAATGGAGGAAAGGCTGTTTGCCTGGAGTCTTTTTTGAGTATCTCTCAGAGAGGCTCATAATTTCAGGTATGGGAGAAAGTCTAGTCATTACCCAGTCCATCACCCTCCTTTCATGCATGAGGATAGGAAGACCCTAAGGATTCTCTGTAGAGGTTACTGTGAACCGTAGTAATTTTGATGTAGCTTTAAGTAGCACGACCTGGACAGAACTGTGGGTGTCCTGGAAAAGAGGAGGAGAGAATAGCAAGAGCAAAAGCTCAGCAGCGGTCTCTTGCTCCCCAGTATCAGGACACTGTTCACATGGGAGGGTTGTGTAGGGCAGAGTAGGAAATACATTAGATTTTTTTGTTTTGTTTATACAGTGTCTCACTCTGTTGCCCAGGCCGGAGCGCAGTGGCATGATAATGGCTCACTGCAACCTCTGCCTCCTGGGCTCAAGTGATTCTCCCACCTCAGTCTCCTGAGTAGCTGAGATTGTGAGCTGAGACTACAGGTGTGCACCACCACACCTGGCTACTTTTTTATTTTTTGTAGAGATGGCATCTTTCTATGTTGTCCAGGCTGGTCTTGAACTACTGGGCTCAAGCGATCCTCCCACCTTGGCCTCCCAAAGTGCTGGGATTACAGGCATGAGCCACTGCACCTGGCCAGAATCTTTTTTTAGAGACAGGATTGTCGCTCTGTTGCTCAGGGTGAAGTGCAGGGGCATAATCATAGCTTACTACCCCTTAAACTCCTGGGTCCTTGACCTCCTGATCCTCCCACCTCAGTATCCCCACCCCACCCAGCTAATTTTTTTTTTTTTTTTGAGACGGAGTCTTGCTCTGTCACCCAGGCTGGAGTGCAGTGGCACTATCTTGGCTCACTGCAAGCTCCGCCTCCCGGGTTCACGCCATTCTCCTGCCTCAGCCTCCCGAGTAGCTGGGACTACAGGCGCCCGCCACCGCACCCGGCTAATTTTTTGTATTTTTAGTAGAGAAGGGGTTTCATCGTGTTAGCCAGGATGGTCTCGATCTCCTGACCTCGTGATCCGCCCGCCTTGGCCTCCCAAAATGCTGGGATTACAGGCGTGAGTCACCGCGCCCGGCCCCATCTAATTTTTAAATATTTTAGAGAGTGGGTCTCTTACTGTGTCGCCCAGGGTGGTCTCGAACTCCTGGCCTCAGGCTGTCCTCCCTCTTCAACCTCCCAAAGTGCTGGGATTACTGGTGTGAGTCACTGCACCTGGAAGGAAATACACTGGTATAGCCTTTAAGGTTCAGAAAAAGATCAAAGGCAGTGCTAACTTTAGTGTACTAAGGAATCTTCTGGAGAATTTCGTGAGAATACACACTGCCTGCTCTTTCTGTTCAAAGGGAGGATATCTAGGCCTCCCTTCAGAGATTCTGGTTTAGTAGATCTAAGTGAGAACTGAGGACTCTGGATTTTTAAACAGCTGTATTGAGATATATTTCACATGTCATACAGCTCATGCATTTAAGGTGTAAAATTTAATATTTTTAGCATATTCATGTCGTTATGCAACCACCACCACTAGCAAATTCTAGAACATCGGCATTGTGTAACCACCACCACTAGCAAATTCTAGAACATCGGCATTGTGTAACCACCACCACTAGCAAATTCTAGAACATCGGCATTGTGTAACCACCACCACTAGCAAATTCTAGAACATCGGCATTGTGTAACCACCACCACTAGCAAATTCTAGAACATCGGCATTGTGTAACCACCACCACTAGCAAATTCTAGAACATCGGCATTGTGTAACCACCACCACTAGCAAATTCTAGAACATTTTTGTCCCTTCTAAAAGAAACCTCATAGCCGTTGGCAGTTGCTTCCCACCGTCAACCCCAGCCCCAAGCAACCACCAGTCTACTTTCTGTCTACATTTGCCTATTCTGGACATTTCATATAAAGGGAATCGTACATTATGTGGCCTTCTCTAACTGGCCTTTTCTACTTTGCATAATATTTTCAGGGCTCATCTATGCTGTAGCATGTATCAGTATTTTATTCCTTTTTAAGGAATGTATCCATAAAATGGATACATTTAAGCTATGCGTCCATAAAATGGATACATTTTTGTGTGTCCATTCTTCTGTTGGATGGTTTCTCCTTTTTGAGTTATTTAAGTAATGCTGCTGTGAATATCTGTGAGGAATCTGCGTTTTTAAACAAGCACCCCGCTTAATTCTGTTGCTGATAGTTCCTGCACATATCTGGAGAAACTCTAACCTGAATGGTTAGTGTTGTAGAATGACTCCCCTCACAGTGCTAAGTCCTCTGTTCCCCATCTCTTATGGGTGCTTCTGCTTGAAGAATCACTGGTCTGTGAGCGGGTGTGTAGTGGCTTAGTGGAAGTGAGGTTCCAGAACTAAATTACATGGTCTGCATGTGCAGGGTAGAGTGGACAGAAGGGACATGACAGGGACAGTAGGCAGAGTAAATGGGTCCTGTACTTTTTCAGAATCTAGTAGTGACTTGACTAGTTCCTGAACTAGGGTGTTGCTGCTGGTGGTGGTAATGGAAAGGAAGAGTCAGAGGTAACAGACTTCATCAAAGGAATACTCTCTTCAGTAATGGTGATTTTAAAATACTCGGCAATTTTTGTTTTTCATTGACTCAGACACAGTTCTGTCTAATTCTGACCTTATCTATTCCTATCATCCTGTTGTTCAAAGTAAATGTATTTTTACCAACTGTTTGAGAGAGGAAATCCTGGGATAATTAGCTGAAGGATATAGTGTAATAAAAAAATACCAAGTTTTGATATTTTGAAGCCTCTGATCTACTAGGGATGTTTAGATACAGTACAAGCCTGAGTCAGAGCTGAACTTCTCAAAGTTCTTTTTCAGACTTGGGATTCTGTGGTATATTCTGAAACTGAAAATAGCTTCTAGGAGATTCACAGTCCCCACCACCACTGCCCATTGGCGCCACTGGGCCCAAAGTGAAGGGCCTAGAACAGCTCACACCTTTTTCTGAGAGCTATAGCACAGCTTTAGAAGAGAGATTGTCGCAGCCAGTGACCCATATCGGGTACTCATAGAGAGGGGTTTTGTTTAATAGGATTACCCTTGACCAGATATCCATGATCTGTTTCACATTTTTCCGTTAGATTATTTGGCACAGATGTGATCAGATTGCCCTTAAGATGCTCTTTGTTCTGTGTACTATTTTTCCCCTCTCCTAACACAAGCATCATTAAAAAAGTCTTGGAGCATTGATACATCAAAAGATTCTTCTTTCTACCTACTTTATCAAAATCACTATGAACACTTTGGTGTATGTTCTTCTAGACTCTTTTCTTTGTTAAAAAAACAAACAAACAAACAAACAAACAAAAAGCCTAGTTTTGCACAGAGTATCACAGCGTGCACTTCCTTGTTAACCTGTTATTTCCCCCTACAAACAATGTGTTGTGAACACCTTCCTATGTTAGCAGATTGATTTCTACAGCATTTAAAATTGGCTGTAGAGTTTTGCATTGTATGGATAAAATACCTTCCAAGTTTTCACTGTTTCATACTGTGATGTATGTTTTCATACATTGTTCTAAAATATCTTAAGCCACATCGTACATATTGCCAGTTTGGTTCTCTGTGAATTTTACTGGTAACAATACAACCTAGATGCTCAGGGTTAATTAAGTATTCTGGGGCAAAGTGCCATTGAACCTGGTTCCTGGTACATACATTCATTCTGATTATTGGTTGGGATAGGTTTATAGTTGTGAAATAGGTGCTACAGACAGTTAACATAAAACATCCTGTAGCTCTCAGAAGATAGAAAATGCACCCTTTAACTTTCAGAAACTTGCATACCTATAAACGTAGAAACAAGGAATTGCATTTTTATTAATTCATGGAATCCAGTCTTCATAATGGATTTAAATAATTCTATTTAAAATATGTGCACACAATCTAAAAGCATTTTGTCATTGTAGCCTAATATCATATAAAAAGAAATTGTGCCTCTGAGTGCACAGTGGACATACCTGTTGTATCATCTGTTTTTCTGGTTTATTGCCATCTTTCTGCCAGAGTCCAGGACCCTAGAGGAGAATTTCACCATCTTCTCTGAAGTAAAATGTGATTTAGGAACCAGCTTGCTTATTTTTTAAAGTAATGAGTATCACTGTTATGTATCAAAAATAAAAAAATAGGCAGATTGATTATAATCTGTAGCCCCTTACTGTAAATTTCAAATAGAAAAGCAAGATTGAGAGGAAATACATCATCATTTTAACAGTGGCTATTTTTGAGTGGTGAGATTATGAACAATTAAACTTTCTTCTTGCTTTTCTGTATTTTCAGATTTCTAGAGTGAACATGTATTATACGCTATAACGCATAGGAATGTGGGAATAAAAATACGGGCCAAATATTTTTAAAAGGTATGGGATGAGGGCGGGTGGGCTGGAAAGAACCCATAAAGATAAGAGTGGGTAGTTACTTTTCCACTGTTAAAGAATGAGGCTTGCCAGCTCCTAAGGAAATCTCTGACCCCACCCTGTACTTTTCAAGCAAGAGCTTTTGAAGTCTTTTGTGCTAGTTAGAGACTAGCATAGTTAGTACAGCTAAGTAAGTATGTAACAGATTCTATTATTAGGTTTATCTTTGCTGATTCCCATTTGATTGACAGCGAGTTCTCCACCCAGAAAGTTTGATTTATTTTGGCAGTTGGAAGAGGATTTTATGGAGCACTTGTTATCTAAAAAAAGTAAGGCTGTGGAACCTGCTTCCCCCACCCCTCTTTTTTAGCTGTTTGGGTTGGTCCTAGTGAGCATGCCTAATCTAAGGATTACTCAGCAAACATGACCTTAGGGCTGGTTTTGTAAATGTTACCAAATCTATTACTTAACCACAGATGTTCTTCCATTGTTGTGTCCCACAGCCAGAGTAGAATGGTGACGATTAGTTCTGTGAGACTTGGATAAAACCTGTATTCTTTAGGTCTCTTTGTATGTGGTGGTTTGAAAGTATTTCCTCACAAAAATTTAAACAATCACATGGTGCAAAGTAAATTGAATTATGTTTTCTTAAAAAAGTTAACTTATATCATTATACAAATTATAGATGCTCATTGTAGAATATTTTAAAAAATATAGCAAGTTCAAAAGAAAAATACAACTTATTCGTTATTCTATTATCCATAAGTTAAGCATTAACATTTTGGTTCTATTTCATTTCAGTCTTTTAAAAAATTGTGTATACATATATAATCTGACTGTGTAAATTGCACTAAGCATTCTATTGTGAACACTTCCTCATAGTCTGGTTTACTTTTTCTATGTTGTAAAAGCAACTTCCTGACACTAGTAAATGGTATTATTTATGATGGGCATGGATACACATATCTTTTATTTTACAGCAGCTGCCTTAAGTAGACTTCCAGTAAATCCTTGAGATGTATGTATTACTTGTGATATTCTTTATTATTATACCCAAATTGATAGATTAGTAGAACTGGCAGGGGCATTGGTCATGGAATTCAGTCCTTTAATTTGAGAAATAATCCTTTGAGCTGGAGCTGCAAGAAATTTTTTTTTTTTTTTAAGAAATGAGAAAAATAAGCCAGAAGAGTTGCCCTTTGCCCAATATTATTAACTTATTTAATGGCCGTAAGATAACACTGTTGGAAGCAGCTGCCTCTTTTCTTGTACAGGTTGGGAAGTTGGGGTATTGAGAATTTAATCAACACATTTTTTTAAAGAACCAGGTTGTACTTCCTTACATGCTCAAGTATGGAGGAAAAAGCCAAACCCTGAGGCTAGTAGTTTAGTATTGAATTGCCAAAATCTATTTATTAATTTCATTTTTCATTCACCAGTTGATTTGATGGCATGTGTAAGCAGTCACCATTGTCTTGATTTCCTGCATGTACCTGTACAGAAGTCATTGTTAACATGATACTACTGACAGTACATGCTTTTCTAGTTGAGGAGTTAAAATAATTTTTTGGCTTTGCAGTTAAACACAGTGGTCGGTATTTAAGGTATTTAAGGAATCGGTATTTAAGGAATCAGTGGAGTTATGAAGTAATATTTGAAGTTTTGATTTTTTAAAAATTGCACATTCAATGTTAACACCTTTCAGTTGGCTTTGAAAAAGCAGTAGATTCTTGGGAGTACTTTCCAGAATATTTGAGAAAAACAATTATGGCTTAGTATTTTTTTTTTAAAGAAAAACAAAGCAATACCCTGAGAGATTATCTAGAAAAATGAAATGGAATTGTTGAGTTTCCCCTTCACCTTGGGAAGAACTCGGGGGAATGGTTGTGAACAACACTGGCTTTGTTGACCCTGAAGTGTAGGCAGTTAGGGCCTGTGAACATGGCATTTATAGTGGTCCACCATCCTTGCTGCCTTGGAAAATTCTTTCTGGAATGGCAGAGGTGCTCTTTGCAAGGCGTGCTTCCTGTGTGAGTACCTATTGTGGAGTCCTCGGTTGAATGGGAGGTTTGTGAGAAGTGGTTTCCCACCAGCACACAATGCTGCCTCTCGGCAATGTAAATACACATTCCACTCAGGGTCAGGCTAACAGTGACTGGCTAGAGCAAACGCCTTCGCAAAGAAAGATATTTTGGAGTTCCATTTATTTATAGCGGCCAGTGGAAAATTAATATGCTTGTTAAATCTATTTTTAAAAATGAAAGGGAAGTCTCTCATCTGTTTGTTGAATGCAAATCAATTAGCTGTGGCATATTTTGATTTTGCTAATTTGTTGCTCTAGGAACTGAATTTCAATGTCCTACTAATTCCTTTGTCTATATTTGAAACTTGAGGTTCTCATTTTAAAAGTTCTCTTTATGCTTTGGAAGACTTCTTTTGGGTTCTTTGATGAAAGACATAAATAAATGAATGACCCTAGAAAATACTAGATCAAATCATGGCGGGACTTAAAATGGGCTCATTGAGCAGTAAATGAAGGTCTAGAGATCAGAGCAGATATGATTCTTCCTTAAGAATGGCAACACAATATTATTTGTCGTTACTTCCTTAGTGTTTGATCATTTGCTTTGAATCTGGGGCATGAGTCTGATTACAGGAGAGATTGCACGGGGATCCCCATCTAACAGGCCTGGATTTATGGGTGTCAAGTCTCCACCTCTCCTGTACTCTGCTGACAGCCCCAGCAGGAAGTACCTGGCCCCCAACATCAGTTTTCTTAGCCCTCCAGCCTGCTTTTCTGCTCTCATGATTTACCAAATGAATTTGCCTCACAAATGTTCTCTAATGAGTGTGGCATAAAGTCCTGGAGAGAGACATCTGTGGTAGAATTAGAATACCTCTTAATTTGGATTAATTTGTTCTTCCTTTAGACCCTGTCAGGTGAACTCTAGTTGTATAATAGAAAGTATAAAGGAGGGACAGCAATCTGTTTTTTTTATGTTTTTACGTATAACTTGCTTGTGTGGAGCAACAACTCTCAAAGTGTCGTCTGGGAGACCCTTGGGTACTCCTAAGACCCTCTTGGGGGTTCATGACATCAAAACCATTAATAATCCTAAAATGTTACTTGTGTTTTTCATTCTGCTTCTTTGAGTTTATTGGTGACATTAACTGAAAAATATTTTGTGTGTGTCTTTTGTGTTCATATAAGGAGAAGTACTAAAATTGAATTGGAGAACATGCCTTTTATACCAAAGCTGAAATTTAAAAAGATTTTTCTGGAAAAATTTTAAAACCCGTTAATGAATTCCTTAAATTTAGAATTTGTGTAACTTCAGCACAGAAGAGTGTCTTGCACAGAGGAGAAACTAAATAGGTATTTCTTAAATGAATGGATGTAGCTGCTTACTTTTTCTTAACAAATTGTATTAGTATAAATTAATGTCATTGTTCACAGGCAGTGTTTAGAATATAGGCAAGCACCATGCTTTCAAACACTGAAATTCACCTATTTGCGTATAAGCCATATATATACCAATTATCATTCTTATCTATTAAATAAAACAAATCTCCTTAATTCTCTGGTGTGCGACAGTTTTCTGTCGAGAGAAAATATTTTTCTAGAGAATTTTGCATTTTTATGTTTTCAAAATGTTTATCTGAATTAGTAATATGACTATATACATACTTTATATTAAAATTTTATCATAATGAGCTAATCTGAAATAGTAAATAGATATTCCCTTACACAGTATGTCTTTGCACCTGCTAATTTGTTTGTTTGTTAACTGTTGTCATTTCATGTGAAATTTCTGTTTCGGTCTCTTCTGAGCTCTAAGTAACACCTGGTATTTGCTTTATGTTCGGTCACATTAAGTGAAAAACAAAGCTGCTTATGAGAATGTCATTAAATGTAATATTTCTCAAGAAATAACTTGCCTTTAGTTAATAAAAAACAGTTCTAAACTGATTTTCAATGTATCAGACAGTGTTCTTACTGATTTCCATCCCCCCAACCATGCAGGAGTGAGAATCAGATAATTTTTTGAAAAAATATTTGAACCAATATCTACAATTGCTTATGTCAGAAATCTTTGAAATATATATTTAAGTATAAATAGGAGGAACTGTCAGTGATGTTTAATGGTACAGATTCTTTTCCTTATAATGAATGTTTCATAACATCGGTTCAGTTAAACAAAACTGAGTGTGTAAAATAAACATGATTGAATTCTATACGAGCTGATTAAACAAAAAATTTTAGTATCCTCCTGGCTGATCAGAAATGAAGGTTAAGGCATGGGGTATGTTTTGAAGACAAATTCACCTTCTGTAACACCTGTCAGATTTCAAAGTCTAGAAAAGAGGCCACAGCTGGGAAACCAAATTTAGACATTGGGGCTTATCTCAGATGAAAGGTTTCGTAGAGCATGGAGGTCTGTTGACTTTGTGTGGTATTTCGTCAGAAGTGTCCAATGCAGATTCGTTTTTAGTTAACTGAGTATAACATTTCATTGTAATGCTATTTAACCTTATGCCTTTATTTCTAGAACCCTAGAATTCTAGCACAGTGCCACCACAAAGTGGGTACACAGTAAATATCTGGTTAACACAATGGTTGATTACCTTTTTTCAAGTTCTTTTGTTTGATGTTATTTTATAAGGTACCTTTCAGCTAGGTCCTTCTTTTGGAATATTGTTATTATTAAAGGGAGAAGCCTTCAACCTGCTTTATACTTATTTTACAGTAGTTACTTAAAATTAATAGAATCTTGAAACCCTTTGTACCAAAGATATTACTCTAGCAGTCTCTTCATCAATAACTTGCTGCCCTTTGGAAATAATTTTGCTTTTGTGTTTAATCATGGCACATTTCATTAAAATCACCATGGAAGACATAACTTTAGCAATTTATAATTTGGTTTCTGCTAGTTTTTTCCCCCCTCTAATTTTAAACCATCTAGGCTAAATGGTAGTATAATGGATTTGCTTCATCTTCCTTAAGCTACTTTAAAATGTGCTCTAAAAATTATTAAGTCTGCATTTTGGTAAGGAAGCACCAAAAACTCAATTGTAGCCTTTGTGGAGGGGAACCAAGCACTCCTTAGGAGGGAGATGTACTCTCATGGGTTGTCTTTGAAAGTTACCTTTTGATACCTTTTCTGTTTTGTACCATGTGCTTGTTTTATCTAGTCTTTAAAACTCACTAACCTATATATAAATTTTAGCCAGCTCTTCTACTTGGGTTTTGTTGTCAGATTCTTAGATGTTACAATTAGCTCGCTAAGAGCATGGACTTTTCATTATCACTTTCTGAGTCTCTTTGGGAAAATTATTTCTTTAGCCTTAGTTACTATATTTGTAAATGGACAATACCAGCTACTTCATAGGATGTTTTGATGCTAGGTAAGAATTAGTGTGCAGGTGCCCCAAACAGTGCCTTTGCCCCAGCAGGCTGAAATAGCAGCTTCAAAGCTCTTCCTCCACATCTTTCCAGAAAGCAATCAGTTGTTTGGTGCTTGCAACACATTTTTTTTTTCTTCTATTCAAGGGTGTTATGCATGTCTCTTAGGTGCCCAAATTGATGCACAAATGTGAATTTGATTCGTAATAGATCTCTACAAATAGAACAATAAAATACATTTTGGATCTTATTAAAGGGCTATCTGGAAGTCATGTACTTAAGCAGCCATATCATTCATATTATACATAAAGAAACTAAGACACAGAGAGCTTACATAGGAAAACCTTGAACCACAGTCCTGAAAAGCAGTGGGACCTGTCAAAGTGCTGTGGGGTGCCAGGCAGGTGTAGTGCCCAAGGTCTGGGCAAGGGCTGGGTAAAGCGTGAGCTTCTGGCGCTGGGGAGGAGGAGCATGTGTTCTGACTTCCTGTCTCTTTCCACCTCCCCGTGCAGATTAGAATTAGACTTCCTCAAGGGGCTTTAGAAGTGATGTTTTTCACTATCTGACTACAGTTCTGTAGACTTTTCTCTCACTGTCTTACAGAAACACATAACATTTCAAATTTCACTGAAAATCTATATTTTCAGTTATTCCCATGTTTGGATGCTGTGACCAGGTTAGCTTGGGTATGTGTGAGAATAAGGGCTCATAGCTTTGGCATGTTTCCTTGTAGATACTTGACTGTCATCCTTGGGATGTCAGGGTGTGAGATGTATTGTGATATGAGTGTACCTGGAATCTAAGTGTTCTAATAAAAATGGTTAATTACGTCTGCAAGCTTATGTAAATACCACTTAAAAACAACGAACAAAGCAAACGAACCTTTGGTTGGTAAACTTTTTTTGTAGATAAGCCCCCTTTCCCTTTTAGTTAATATTTGCAAAACTGAGCTGGTATTATGTGAGGATGTGGATCTGAGGTCAAGAGATTGTGTATATATAGTGATGTAATTTTTTTCCATTTAGTTTTTATGTTTCTGTAAAATTTGGGGTATGTCGGGCTGCTATGGAAGCAACCTCTTTATATTAATAGGGGTTTACGGAAGCAGCCTCAAATTACATGTAATTTTTACTCATAATCCTTATATATATGGATTTTTCTCCCCGAGAAAATAGTGCTTTCCTGTACATTAGATTTGAGTTCAGACATGACTCTGCTTTGCCAAATTTAAAATTATGCCAAGCCAAAAATGTTTAAAAAGCATCTATGGATTCTTGAAGGCAGGGCCTATACAATAGGGACATCCATCCCCTTTTTGCACTTAAGGGCACAGTGGATGGTTCCTTTGGGCTTGTTGCTTGAACCTAGTATTTATTTTAATCTGAAGTGGTGGTGTTTTTAATCTAAAAAACTCAGTTTCACAGGATTTCTCTGTGGATTTAAATGCTCCCGACTAAATCTTTTATGCTTATAATTGGATGTAAAACGCAAGAACGTTTTTAAGGTTAAGAACTTTTTCAGACAACTGTGATTTTACTTCACTAATGAACACATATCAGACAAGAAGGCAAATTCCAGACTGTTTGTGCCTCAACCAAGCAGCTGGGCACATACCTCCAGGTACTGCTCATGTCTCAAGAGGTTTTTCTGCATGAACAATTATCACCACTCCTTCTTTCCTTCAAGTGGCAAGCCATGGCAAGAGTCTTTCTTGCACAGCTGTATAGAACTCAGCTGTAAAATTAGATTTTATTGGCATAAAAACACAGTGATTATCAGCACTGTGTGCTCAATACATTCTTTTCTCAACATTTTACTTAGATTCTTCCTTTTATGCAGAAGGCTCAAGCTGTACTTAAATGAAGGAAACAGGTTTTTAGAAGTTTTTTTATGTGTCTTTTTTTAAGCTTTAGTTTAATCAATATTAGGTATGCAGGGTAAGCAATTGGTATTGAAGGGAGGAAACATACTCCCTTAAGATCAGAAAGGAACCTTAAGGGCTAATCTATAATATTGTCATTTTATAAGAGGAAATTAATTACTGAAGTTCAGAGCTAATTATTTTATTGACAAATCCCAGATTAGAACTCATGTTTTCCAATACTCAGTGCTGGAGCCTGTCCACTATAGTTTTTTTTTTTTTTTCCAAAGTTTTTTTTAGCATAGGGGATGTGAAAAATTCTAATAACAGTTCTTAGTCCCTCTCCATATCCTTTTTTTGTGCTACTTAATTTGATTTTTTAAAAAGCAAAGGGGAATGTTTGCCTGAAGTGTACAGGAGCGATTAGCTCAAGGAAAAGCACTAAAACAACCTCTAGGTTTCTCCTGTCCAATGGCAGTGTCCCACATCAGGTTCATAATGGCGACATGCTAATTCCACATGGGCAGAGCCAATGCCAAGGCATTGGTGTAGTGTTACTGGGAAGAGAAAGAAAAGCCATATTCTCACAGTAGCAGGGAAGTGGTCAAAACAGTCAGGTGTGTGTTGATGGATGAGCAGATTTTCCCAGAATTTCAGAGGTAAAGAAGATCACATTGTGTTTCTATTTTGTTTTAATGAAATTTTTTTCCTTTTGTTGATGCTGTTGGTGTTTCCATGGTTATTATCAAAAGCAGTTTCTGGTTTTGCTGAAAGGCTAGAAATGACAACTATTTTCAGAGTTTCTAGGTCTTGAAACATCAGTCAACCTTTCAAAGCCAGCATTGATCAAGAAGGAAAGAGGTTTTTCTAATGAGGAAAATAAAATAGTAAATGATACTTTGACATTCCATTAGTTGTAGGAATGTGTGCCCCAACTGACTACCTTGCTTTGCTCTCTCTCTTTCCCTCTCTTTTCTAAGTTTTGCTAATAATAAAACTTAGGAAGTACACATTTAGGAAACTGTCTGTCCTTGTGACTGATGGCATTTATACATAAAGGCCACCCGGGGTGTATGGGGGGAGGTTCATGAATGCAGTTTTTCTTTTCTTTTTTCTGTGTATATGATTCCGTATCAAATTTTAACTTCTAGATGTTTATTTTTTTAACTGCAGTCAAGGCACAAACCAGTGTAAATCAGCTGCACAAATGTTTGTCATAATAAATTTTTATTAGGTTTTATATTGGAAGCCATTTAGAAACTAGTCTTATAATCACTCATAAAACATTAGCTATCTTATTGTTTTACAAGAGTATGTAGAGTATAGTAATTTCTTAGTAACATCCCAAATCCGTCTTTCTCCAAACACAATACAGCAAAGCTGTGTTTTCTGTGATTCAGTAAGTCAGATTGCATTTTGAGTATTCATGTAGTTTTCCCCACCCCCCTGAATCAGGAATTTTCTTCCCCCATTATTATTGTTTTCTTAAAAAAAAAAAAAAAAAAAGATGGGGTTTCGCCATGTTGCCCACACGGGCCTCGAACTTCGGAGCTCAAGCAGTCTGTCTGCCTTGGCCTCCCAAAGTGCTGGGATTACAGGCATTTTATTACTGTTATACAAATGGCCAGGATGTTTCTCTGCTGTATTTTCTGAAACTTGACCCACTATAGATTCTCACTATTAGAGGTCAGTGGGTATTTTTAGTAGAGAAGGAAATTTTCATGAAGTACGAATTGAGCTGATTTTACTGTGTCTGTGACAATATATTTTTCAGGCTACAGAACAAGCATGTAGCAAGCAAAATGTTTACATGTTGTTATGTTTAAAGTGTGTGAAGGTGATTGGTTAATCTGTGTTGGAAAAGACTAGCTTTATGGAGTACTTGGAATCACAGTTAACTATAGTGGTATGAATTCTGATATTATTTTCAAGTTGCTTTATGGGTGCTTGTATTTGATGGGTTTTGAATTGGAGTATGGAAGTGAAAAGTTAAAACTGAACACATACATTCTACTTACTTGTTATGTTACTCCATCAACCTTTTTTTTAAAGAGACAGGGTCTTGCTATGTTGCCCAGGCTGGACTCAAACTCCCTGGGCTGAAGCCATCATCTTGCCTCAGCCTTCTGAGTAGCTGGGACTACAGGTGTGCACCACCATGCCCAGTTTTCCACTGACCTTTTTAAACACTGCTCCAGGATAGTCAAAGTTAGTGGGAGGTCTCATTAGGGTGCTGGTGAAGTGGGCCTGGGAGCCTCAGCCTGGCTTGTAATTAAACTCAGGGAATCAATTCCTCTCATCCAGGCTGGCCCGGTGGGTTTGGTTCTGATGGGTATACTTTGTTCCTTTTGGTACTGTTATGTTTCTTTTTCTCTTGTCATTTGAAATTAATTTGCGTACTGTACTGCTAACTCACATCTTGAATTAATGTAAGGAAATTTGGGTCATTGGCCCTCAGAGTGAGGACCAGGACATTTTGTTGTTAATTTGAAGGCCAGTTTCACAGACTTAAAAACTCTCCCAGCAGTGATTAGGGCTTTGGCTTTAAGTTAGACATTCTTCCTAGTATATAATTGCTTTGGCCCTTTGCAGGTGGGGGCTGCAGTTCTCTTCTGCGAATCGTTGTTTTTCATGAATTTGGCCTGTGTCTTTCTTAGTATAGGCTGGGACCAAAGTACCATGGAAAATCTTTTTAGACTTGGAGAAGAGGAAGCAAAATAAGAAGAAAAAGGAATAAGCTAGTTGCCTAGAGAAATGCAAAAACTGAAGATCTTTTGTAATATTCTTTTAAAGTTTTCTTTAAAAGCTTTGGGGACATATTTGGGTGGAATTAATGTCTTACTAACAGTGAGGATCTGTTCATTCTGTTTCCAGAGTGTCCTGCCCCAAACCCTGCGTTTGAGCTCAGGGATTGTTGGAAATGCGGGGTCTTGCTAGAAGGTAACCAGTGGCTTGCTTTCTTAGGGGAAAGGGAAGTTAATCACAAGTGCCCACGTGGCAGCCTTTCCCTGTCAATCAAAAGAATAGAACTAGCTGGGTGTGAAGCACTTGCGGTTTTAGTGTTATGTGTGGTTAGGGGGAGAGGTTGCGAGGGCCTGTGGTTGTTACCAAATTCTTTGAAATGGAAGTATGGGTACAAACAAAATAAAGAATAGGAGAGAAACCCTGGTGCTCTGTGTGGGGGAAAGAAAAGTTCATAGAATTCGACAAATAAATGCGTTGTAGTAGAGATGATCTACTTTCTGTTTTTTTTTCTTATTAGTTTTGCAGTGCATTTCTTCATTTGTAAAGGGTAGTTGATTTCAAGAATGGATTCATGATCACATCTCCGTGGTGTGTTGGGGGACAGTGTGGATGTGGTACAGCCTTGACCAAAATGCCTGAGTCCTGTGATAGATTTGGCCAGCTCAGATACACATCTGTCTAGGAAAGAAGGAACCCAGACCAAGAAGATGAGTGTTAGTCAGGGTGGTTTCTACTGAGACTTTTTGACTAAGATGAAAATGAGTTACAGTGCGGTTATCCAGAGATCACACATCTGGCCTGCTCAGCTACCTTCACAGCTGATGATCAGCTGGTGGTGAAAAGGAAGACTGCACAAAGCGCACGAGGAACTTCTGAAACTGTACTCAGGGACTCCTCTCTGTGTGTGTATGTAACTGACAATCTGGCCGCTCAGCCCAAAGAAAATTTAAGACAGCAAATTTAGGAAAAGGCCCTGAGACTGGAGGGAGTGTGGTTAATGAAGAAAAGAGAAAGAAAAAAAAACATTAAAATTAAGCATAAGAACTTATTGGGAGGCCGAGGCGGGCGGATCACAAGGTCAGGAGTTCGAGACCAGCTTGGTCAACATAGTGAAACCCCGTCTCTACTAAAAATACAAAAAATAGTTGGGCATGGTGGCACGTGCCTGTAGTCCCAGCTACTCGGGAGGCTGAGGCAGGAGAATAGCTTGAACCCAGGAGGCGGAGTTTGTGGTGAGCTGAGATCACGCCACTGCACTCCATCCTGGGCAACAGAGTGAGACTCTGTCTCAAAAAAAAGAAAAAAAAAAAGTAGAGGTGGGGTGATAATAGCTCTGTATATGTAAGGTCAAAATGTTTCAGTAACATCCTCATCCATCACCTTATGACTGAATACAGTATTCTTATAAACTGTCCTGAAATCCCTAAGAAAAAAGCTGTGGCCAGCCTGCTCTTTAATGAAGAACATGTGTAATTTCCATTCGCAATCATTACAAACAAATAGAGTAAGCTTTAGTTCTTAAAGTTAACTGTATGGATGAAAGCCTTCCACATCCATTGCTTCCTCTTTTAATTCCATTGAAAAGCCTTGTCGGCTTTCATCAGGTAGGTATTCCTGAGGTCTCCTCACAGCTGAGTTGAGCCACCCTGTTGAGAGTTAAGTCCACGTGTAGTTTTGTCTCAGTTACTGGTTAAAACAGAGGAGGTTCACTTTTGGGTTGCTGTGACTATAGAGTGATGACTGCTCATGACAAGCCTTCCCAGGCCTCCTGGCCTGACTTAACCTGCTTTAACTGTTGATGGTTTTGCAATGTGGTTTCCCCACTTCACAACCTGAATCTGTGACTTTCTACTGGGAACACTCACTACGTTTCCCTTTTCATGCCTGGGGAATAACCAAAAAGATACTACTGTGAACGCTAAGTTTTATGTTTTCATGCTTTTATGCTTTTCCTCCTTGCCTTTTCTCTAGTCTGTTTTCTATGGAGCATAGACTAAGTCATTTCTATTTTATGATCATTTTAAGGGACAGCTTGGCAGGCAGTTGGCTTTTAAGTAGTTGGGCAGTTCCTTGCCTCGAAATAATTCATTTCTTTGTATGTCTCTTGCATTCTAGGCAAATAAAAGTACTCTCTGTGTGTGCATGGAGCACAGAAATGGGGATTTAAACATCGTTGGCTGCATGTAGGCCCCATCTAGCTGAATCTGTTACCTTATATTCTTGTCAGGATGAAGTCTGGTTTATCTCTGGTGAAACTGTTAGGGATTACAAAGAAGGCCTTGGATTCTTTTTTTTTTTTTTTTTTTGAGACGGAGTCTTGCTCTGTCACCCAGGCTGGAGTGCAGTGGTGGGATCTCGGCTCCCTGCAAGCTCCGCCTCCCGGGTTCACGCCATTCTCCTGCCTCAGCCTCCCAAGTAGCTGGGACTACAGGCGCCCGCCACTGCGCCCGGCTAATTTTTTTGTATTTTTAGTAGAGACGGGGTTTCACCGTTTTAGCCGGGATGGTCTCGATCTCCTGACCTCGTGATCCGCCCGCCTCGGCCTCCCAAAGTGCTGGGATTACAGGCGTGAGCCCCGCGCCCGGCCGAAGGCCTTGGATTCTAGCAAGCTGGTGGCTGAGGGAAAAGATCAGCAATACTGGTTATGGCTAAGTGAGACTGCTGGGCTCACAGTGGCCTTTATTCACTTTTATTATTTCTTCTGTTTTCTCCATGATCAACGGTGTGACTGTTGGGTGGTTGAATTGAAACTTAGGAGTGTATGATGTTCATATGTTCCCACTTGATCTTTCTCAGGAGTGTTTGTACATACAGCCTCCCTGTCTCCCCTTCCTCCATCCCTTCCCAGTCATTTCTAGTAACCACTGAACACTGTATGAGGTGGAAAGTCCATCACGTAGTAGAGAAAAAGATTCAGGCATCTCACCTAAAGTTGTCTATGAAGTTTTCAAAAGCAAATATAATGATCTCCTTGTGCCAGTGGACTTCTTTGGTTTATTTGGGGGGTAAAATGCCTTATGAAAAGAGATGGTTTTGCACATCTGTGTCAGTCCCCATACTCTTCTATCCTACTTCTGTAAGGCCTTTGTGGGCCTGGGTCTGGGGGATCCATCTACCTTATCCCACACTTGCAGAACCTGGAGTTAATGCCCTGCTTAGGACTTGACACCTGTGCTTAAGGGTGCTATTTAGCGGGGTTGGATTGCTATGTCTCATTGACAGCGGTCCTGTTAGTTAACACAATGCCTACCAGAAGGTTAGAGTTGTTAGTGTTAGATGTGTTGTTGGTGTTCAGACATTCTTCGGTACTAGAGACAGGAGACCAGGAATGCCTAAATATTGTACCAGATCACAACTGTCTTCTCTTACTCAGTTCAACCTCCCCATTCCCTCACAGGACTCACACAAGAAACAATGAGAAATAGGAACAAAGTAGCACCATTATTTGGATTTGAGCTGCAAATCCAAGTGTTCAAAACTTTGGTTAGATGGGTTGGACCACATGGAGTATAGACAGCTTCAGCCCAAAGCAGGTCCTAAGGACCCTCATCTCCCTCCCATTTGAACTCTCTAAACCTGTATCATTATTTACTGTACGCTGGCCTAATAGAAGGACCTATGGAGGCTGAAGGGACCTAGAGTGAGGCCCTGAAATGGGTTTACTCCTCTTGCCTTGTTGGATAAGAGAGAAGAGGTTCTATCCTTAGGCTCACCTGTAAGATGTCAGAGCTATGCCAAGCAGGAGAGGGCTTTGGCACTCGCTAATGTAGCAGAGGGGATGCAGAGAAGACAACAGAGCCACAGTCTGCACCACAGCCTCAATAGCAAGTGCCCAAGGAGGAGGGAAGAAAAGGTGAAATTGCTTCTCCACCCTTAGATCCTTATACTCAGACCCCCTAATGTAAATAACCACCCTGTTAATCCAACCTGCGATTTTGAAGAAACATTAAATAAGACATCATACTTAGCACTTTGGGAGGCCGAGGTAGGTGGATCACCTGAGGTCATGTCAGGAGTTCAAGACTGGCCTGGCCAACATGGCGAAACCCTGTCTCTACTAAAAATATGAAAATTAGGCGGGCATAGTGGTGCGTGCCTGTAATCCCAGCTACTTAGGAGGTTGAGGCAGGAGAATCGCTTGAACCTGGGAGGTGGAGGTTGCAGCGAGCTGAGATCATGCCACTGCACTCCAGCCTGGGCAACAGAGTGAGACTCCATTAAAAAAAAAAAAAAAAAAAAAGATAGGCCTGTGTAATGTCATCAATTTGAGAAAATAGCCATTTTTCTCTTATGCATTATTAGTAAGATAAAGTATATTAGGAATGAAATTGAAATAGACATTAGATTTCTTCTCCATCATTTGACCTGTTCATAGTTCAAACAATTAAGTCATGATAGTGTCAACAGGGATTATCTTAATTTTAATTGTAAAAGAATCTGTTTTCTTTCATGAGGATAAACTATCAGGCTTTGGGCTTGGTACTTTTATTTGCTTAGGAACTGAGTAATTGCCTCATAAAACAGCATGATGGTACTATTAACACCGAATTATAAGACCTGTTATTATAGAATTTGCTTTTCTAGTTGGGATAAGACTTCATTTTTTGGTGCTTAAAATAATTAGTTTCTCCAAATGGGTGTATAATAAACAGGTAAAATTTTGCCTATTTAAAGTAAAAAAGTTTATAATCTCTTGGGTGGCTTTTATATATCTTTTGATACTTCCAAGGGAGGACTTTTTTTGGGTGGGATGGAGGGAGGAGAGGTATGCTTGACGTTTAGAGTGGACGTGTTTAAGAATGAGAATAAGTATTTTATTTCTGTCATATCTACCTGAGACATATTTGAGGCAGTTATTAACAATTTTGCCCCATTATTTTGTCTGATTTGAATATTAAGTATTAAAGGGTTCATTGACCAAATGTCCTTGAATTTGAAATTTTGGGGACTCTATTATGAGTGATAAATTTAACTGCGAGCTATATGGCAATTTGTTCCTGAGATCATTTAAAATTGTGTGAGAGCGTGTGTGTGTATTTATATTTGTTCGTTTATACTTCTTTGTCCATCTTTGCCATATATTTTGGGCATAATTGAAGAATAAACACTTCTTAAGGAACAAGTTATAATTGTAAATAGGAATTAACTGTTATTTTCCTTCTATTGTATTGCAAAGCTAAATGATGGTGGCAGATACCACTATGGGATGAAAGTAGGCTTTGTGTTATTTTGAAAATGTGTATGAATTTCATTACAATAAATGGAATAAACGGAATAGAAACAACGGAATCTACCTTTAAGCCTGACTGAAGAAGTTGCCCTGGATATATCTGAGATACAGGAAAGTTATGTTCACATGGCCACTTAGAGATTCTGGTCTTTTGTCTCCTAGTTCAGGCTATTTCCGTGCCTTTGTTCTACCCCTCTTTGGGGCCTGACATAATAATACAGGGCTCTCAAATTAGAATAACTTGGGTTTCACGATGGAGCACTTAGATTGTTATGTGACTTGTTGTGTTACAGGTGATTTTTGTGGTTCTGAGTCCTTTTTAAAAAGCGGCGGTTCTCTTGCAGGAAGCCAGTTGAGGGAAGTTCTCCATGAATGTACGTCACAATGATGATGACCGACCAAATCCCTCTGGAACTGCCACCATTGCTGAACGGAGAGGTAGCCATGATGCCCCACTTGGTGAATGGAGATGCAGCTCAGCAGGTTGGTGTAGGAAGAGGGAAATTTAAGTCAAATTGTCTAAGTGGGAAACAGTAACACAGTATTTGATTTATTTTGGGATTCAAAGGTTTGTGATTTCAAACCTTAGCATTTCTAGAGGTAAGTGTTTTTGTTGTAGAAATACTGTATCGTTTTTTAAAATGTGATTTTAGAGAACAAAATCTTCCCTCATTCAGTTTGTATTCTTGAAGTATTGAAAAATGGATGACTTCTGAAGTGAGTCATTTTCAGACTGCATAAAAGTCTTCGAAATAAAATGACTGTTTATTCATGCTGTATTGTGCTTGACTAGTTTGCTTGGTTGGCCAGAGCTGCATGCTCAGAGGGTCAGGTTTTGGCTTCACACAGGAGTGATCTCGACAAGACACGTAGGGCAGTGTGAACCCACCCTTGCTCCTGGAATAGTCCTTCCAAATGTGTAGCTCATAAAATCACGGTACTTATTTTCTCTGAATCTCCTTTGTCACTAGTCACTGAACATTGTGGAATAGAGTTATTTGTGAACTCAGTCAAGTAGCACTTGGGGGAAACAATTTAGACAGTAAGTGAAACTTTAACAAATTATTAGGGATTGAACTATTATCTCTAACATTAATTAAAAATTTTTATTGCAACAGTTGGGCTTGCACAGTTTTACAACTAGATATTTTATCTTTGTACATCCTTCAGAAGCATAAAAGCGAATTTTTATTTTGTGAAAAGTAGAATTGGGAGCAATTGCTTGGAAAATACCCAAAATATACTAATAATTCAAATAAGTTAATCATTTATTTGATGTCAGTACATGCCCCCTGCTCTAATCTATCATACAGTATATCCAACCTCTGTCTATCGTAGTATATTCTTTGCATATACTTGGTTGGAGCTGACCTTGCTGCTTAATAATTTATATTATTTTCTCCTGCATTGTACTATCAACCTCTTAAGAACAAAAAATATATAATAGGTGCTCAGTAAATGTTTGTTAGTTGAATGCATTTCATGTCTTCTCACCACTGATGCAGATAACTCCCTTCCTGATTCCTCAGTCTCTTCCTCTGCTGGATTACTTCCACCAACATACAGTAGTATCTTTTATCTTAAAAACGTAAACACCTGCACCTCTCCCCACCCAATAAAACAAAACCTCCTCAGTTGATTCCACATCCCCTTCCAGTTGCTACCTTCTGTCCCTTTTTCCCTCTTTGGCAGTATTTCTCCACTTCCTCTCCTTCCTTACCGCCCACTTTACAGTCTTCACTCTGTGTTCTCATCTTCCTCTTCAGTCTTTAGCATGTTCTGTTGGCTTTATCTCAGGAGTGTGTGCTGAATCCATACTCTGCCGTATCCACTTCACTTCCACTACCACTGCTGGACCCCGTGCCGTCATCTCACTAGGGTAGGACAGGACAACCCTTCTCGCTGGTCTCTCTGCTTTCCCTTTTGCCCCACCAGAAAGCAGTCTCCACATAGATCCTGAGGGGTCTTTTCCAAATAAAAACTTTCTGATGTCATTGGCCTACCTCAGGCCACGTTCTTACACCTGGAGTGAAATCCAGTCATGCTGCCTGGCTGCCAGCCTTCCGTGTTAGTGCTGGCCTCTCTCTCTGTCATTCTCTGCCTGCTCTTCTGCTCACTGTGCTCAAGTAGTTCATGGGAAGGTTGCAGAGTGTTGTGGATGGTTTCAAGATGCAGTGTTTGGTCTCCCAATTAAAAGAATTACTAATACAAAGAAAAAAAAAAGACAAGGTATTTAGTCAAATGTGAGTAAACTTGGAAAATGACTTAGGTCTCTCAGATGTGGTCACCTCATTCCCATTTGCCTGTGTAGCCAAGAGACCTGAGGCCACCCATCCATGTTGTTGTACACCATGTTTATGTTTTGTTGATTTCTCCCACATGTCTGTAATTCAGCTTGCCCAGCAGGCTACGTGGCATTTCCCTACCTTGCATATCTTACCTCAACTCTAAGCAGAAGCTGCTTAACAATTTTGGTTAATAAAACCATATTTTCAAAGCTGGATGAGGTGGTGCATGCCTGTAATCCTAGCTACTCAGGAGGCTGAAGTAGGAGAATCCCTTGAGCCCAGGAGTTTGAGACCAGCCTGGGCAACAAAGTGAGACCCCATCTCTAAAAAGAAAACAAAAACAAAAACCCGCATTTTTATTAAATCTTTTTTTAATCTTATTAAAGCTTTCTCTAAAGCTAATAAGAAGAATCTGTTAATGTATCTGTTTTATAAATAGTCAAAATACTCAAGCTTTATGAAAAAGTGGGGGTACACTTAAAAAATCTCACAAGAAGGAACTGTTTTGTCTTTTTAATTAGTAAATATGTTTGTGTTAGAAGCATTAACATCCTTGGTTCCAAGCTATTACTTGGCATTAACTCTAACTTTTCCTTAATGGGCAAAATTGTTAAGTGGGTAAAGTGTGTTAGAAATGTCCCTCTCAGCAGGACCAGCCCAAGATTTACCATGCTTTGTCATTGCCTCTACATCACTGGGGCTCAGCCTAGGCAGTGGCCTCTGTGCTTGACATTTTTCTTCCTCATTCTGCTCCCAGAGTCTCCATCCTGTGTCTCCTCATTCTTTCAAGCCTCAGTTCTTTCCTTTGGGTTCTAACATTTAGCATTGGCCTAGGTGTGCGTGGTAGAGGCTTGGGGCCTGTGGGTTGAACCCAGGTGAAGGCACAAGGGGAAGACAGAGTGAAGGAGAAGGAAAACCAAAAGTGGCAGAGAAACACAAGAGGATGTAGGGAAAGGGGAGAGATAGAGGGCCATTCAAAAGAAGAAAGAACAAAGGTGAGTCTCCAAGACAGGATCCCAGAGTGTGGGGCTGCATGAGTTTTGAATGCTTGCTTTGGGCACCTGCTGATGTTTGCTGCCTGCCCTTAAGAGCCTGCGTAATGTGGTGCTCAGGTGGTTCCATGTTAAAGGATCAGGCTACAGCAGACATACCAGAGAAAGTGATCTATATGAATGTTTTCTGAGGCTTTTACTGTGCTTTCTCACTGAAGCAACACCTTTTCATCTTAATAAGAACCTTTTGCAGGCACAGGATTGACTCTAGGGGTGGACATTGCAGGCACTGTACAACAGACCCTCGGCGGTGGCATCCTAAGGTATGTGGCACCTCAGCCACCTCTCACATCATACAGTTGTTAAGAGCCATCCCCTGGCCATAGGATTCTGCCTCTGAATATCTGTTAGGAGTGTGTATGGTGAAGCTTACCTTGTATGTATTTACAGCGTTCTTAATACTTTGCAGCTGTGCAAAGGACATTCTAAACATTTCTATATATGCAAAAGAACTACCACAGTTATGAGAAAGCTCTGCAGTTCCCACAGCCCTCCTCCTTCTGATTTCTGTTCTGCTGGTTCTGGATGTAATTAGGACTAGTTCTTGGCAGGATTCTCTGTTGCGTTCTGGCTCTCTAAATAAGACACACTGTTAATTTTCATTATTTGAAGTCAAATTAAGTTTGAAACCTTGGCTTGTCATTTTGCGCAGGTAGGAGGGAAAGGGCAAGAGTGAAAAGGATGATTATTTTCTTAAAAAGAAAAGTCATCCTCATTACGAATGAAGCTTTTAAAAGCATTATCAACTAAAAATAAATAACAAGAAACAATGTGAACAGAAGCAGCTTACACAGTTTTCCTTATTTAACAGCTTTACTGAGGTATAATTCACATGTCATACCATTCACCCACTGAAAGTATACAATCATTGGAATCTGGTATATTCACAGAATTGTACAACCTTAACTACAATTAATTTTAGAACATTTTTATCACTCTAAAAAGAACCCTAGAGGGATCACTCCCTATTTCCTGTTTCTCTCTCCCTTCCCCCCGTCCTAGGTAACCACTAATTCACTTATTTTCTGTCTCTGTAGGTAGATATTGCCTATTCTGGAATTTCATATAAATAAAATTACATAACATTTGGTCTTTTGTGTCTGGCATCTTTCACCCAACATCTTTGTTTTTTTTTTGAGATGGAGTCTCGCTCTGTTGCCCAGGCTGGAGTGCAATGGCACGATCTCTGCTCACTGCAACATCCACCTTCCGGGTTCAAGCAATTCTCCTGCCTCAGCCTTCCGAGTAGCTGGGATTACAGGCATATGCCACCACGCCTGGCTAATTTTTGTATTTTTAGTAGAGATGGCATTTCACCATGTTGGCCAGGATGGTCTTGAACTCCTGACCTCAAGTGATCTGCCCGCCTTGGCCTCCCAGAGTGCTGGGATTACATGTGTGAGCCACCACGCCCGGTTCACTCAACACATTTCTAAGGTTCATTCATATTGCAGCATGTGTCAGTACTGTATTCCTTTTTTATTGCCAAATATTTTACTGCATGGATCTACCACATTTTATTAATCCACTCATGATCTGATAGACATCTGAGTTATTTTCACTTTTTGGCTGTTATGAATAATGCTGCTATGCACAGATTCTTGTGTGGACATGTTTTTTATTTCTCTTGTATATATAACCGTATATATAACCAAAAGTGAAATTGAGTAGCTTTATTTTGAAGTATTATTTTCCAAATAAAGTTATCTCTGCTTTGTATCACCATTAATTTCTCCCACCTCTGAATAACTACAGCCTAGCTTAGCTAAATAAAGTTTGCTTCCCTTAATATGCCTAATTGTATACTATTGTTGAGTTATAAAAATCAGGTTTCAACCTGAGTTTTTAATGTGTGGCTATTATAAATGATGATGAATGCCCTTCAATAATCAGAAAATTGATGCCTTTGTTGACATTTTCAGAAGCTTGTGGTATATTAACTTACCTGTGTTTGTTATGGACTTCTGCATTTTAGCGATTTTAAAATGTAGCAGCCAGTTTTGCGCACAAAAGAATAAACATCAGCCCAAATTCTGACTTTTTATTGATTTAATATTTTAATAATTTCTGAAGAATTATAGCAGCTACCAGTTAAACCATTAGATTAAAAACAGAAGTGTCGACATAGGGTGGCAGAGTTTACTGATTTGTTAATTTAACGTGATACTTATAAGGGTATCTGTGACCTGCATGAGAGTAGTGTGCCACTTTATATTATATTCTTAGTGACTTTGCTTAAATATGTATTCACTGAGGGTCAATTCCTAGTGGAACTGGATTGGATTAGATACCTCTTTGACCTGACTAGCATTTAGCATATGGAGGACATCGAGTAAATGATTTGTCATACTATTCTTCTTCTCTCTTGCCTCTTTTAATTCTTCTATTCTTCTAGAATATTGCTGAGTGTTTTTAATGCTTCTTCTTCAGAAAGTAGAACTCCTTAAACATATACAGAAAACTCGCTTCTCCTGCTAGCTCAGGATAATTTATCATCTACTTGCCCTGGAAGGCAGAAGGCAATTGCCTCAATCATGTCCAATTCTCTTGACTTTGCCTATTCCTGTTGATCAGCACTTAGCATGTCATTTCATGGAGAGAGTTTTTTTCCCTCTTTTGTTTCTTCTTTTGAAAGCCCTTGTTTCCTCTAGGCAGAATATGTAACCAGAGTTTTTTCCTGGAGTGTTCTTTTGAATACACATTTCCAGACAGTATGTTCAACATATTAAAGCTTTCCACCCTCAGATGGTGCTCATCATCAGCATGTCTTTTCCATCAAATGTGCCCCTCCTCCTAATCCAGTGACCTTTTCTGTTCTGGTTGATATCTTCTTAATAACTTTCTTCTTGATGGCTTCCGTCTTGCATTCAGTAGTTCAAATCCTGTCACCTCACAGGTTTACTCCTTAAATATACTGATAGCCACGGTGTCGGGGGACCCGTGAAGAGTTTTGCTTACATAACAGAGTTTGTCTACTCCTCAGAAATCCCAACAGAAAGGAAGTTTTGTAATCAGTATATTGTAGAAAAATGAATAAACAACTCTTGAGACGATTACCCAGGAGAAAGAAGGATATTCAGATGAGAATGGGAGTGACAGTTAAAAAAGAGACTGCAGCTATTATTGCTAAATAACATTATAGAAGAGCTCCTTTTGTGGCAGAATCCTGTTATGGGCTGGGACTTGAGCTAGAAAGTAGAAAGAGGCTGGTCATATGTTGGGTATGGAAAACCAAGTATGGGGAAGCTCGGTCTTGGATCACATTCTTCAGCATCAAGATGCGTGAGAAATGCACAACCTGTGCAAATACTTAAATGAAATTATTATTGCTGACTGCCGTTCATGCTTCCTCTACCACTCAAATTTATAAAGCCCTCTGGAGTCAAGATACCGTCAGCCTCTCTCCTTTGAAATTTGGGGTGGAAAAGAATGAGAGGATAGGCTGGCATGTTGGCTCATGCCTGTAATCCCAGCACTTTGGGAGGCTGAGGCGGGCGGATCACGAGGTCAGGAGATCAAGACCATCCTGACTAACATGGTGAAACCCCGTCTCTACTAAAAATACAAAAAAAATTAGCCAGGCGTGGTGGTGGGCGCCTGTAGTCCCAGCTACTTGGGAGGCTGAGACAGGAGAATGGCGTGAACCTGGGAGGCGGAGCTTGCAGTGAGCCGACATTGAACCACTGCACTCCAGCCTGGGTGACACAGTGAGACTCTGCCTTAAAAAAAAAAAAAAAAAAAAAAAGAATGAGAGGATAGGATTTATGACTAAATTTAGGAGTGACTGAATAATAGATTTGTTCATTTTAATAAGTATTTATCAAATGTCTTATATGCTGGCAGTGTATTAGGTGCTGGTGACAGAAAGATGAATAAGGCACTGTTCTTGCCCTAAAGGAATGAGCAGTCTAGTTGAGGAGCAAAATGTGGCCTACCAAAAAAAAAAAAAAAGGCTGTATTTACACATACGTGAAATCACAGGAGAGTGCTTGGATTGCAGAGTGTCACAGTGCTTAGGAGTTCAGAGGAGGAATTGAGGATTGGGATAAGTGGGCAGGAAAACAGACCAGGCTAGGAAAAGTATCTGTGGGGAGGCTGAGCCTGGGTCAGATCAGATCTAAGATGAAGTGAAGGCTAGAACTATCCAGACTTTGTACATCAAGTAATCCGTTTCTGTTTTATTAAAGGAGAATACATTATAGGGATTACATATGCAGTGGAGAGCTATTAGGGGCACTACAAACAAACCTTATCTGCATAGTCGGTGATCTCTTTGCTTGAACTTCTGCTACTTAGTGTCTTTGTTAGTGAATGTATTTGTCCTCTGATTCTCCAGTCCGAAGGTCCACCCGTCCGCTTGATGCCTGTTGCTCAGAATTACTGACTCCACAGTGGGGCAGATCACAAGCACCCCCCACAACCAGATCCACTTTTCCAGCTGCGGAGGCAGCAACCCTTGCTTTGAGGGCCTCCTTTTAACTATAAAAAAAAGGTGTGATTTTATCCAGATCTGTGGTCTGACTTTTCAGATCTCTCTGAGTTAGTTTTGCCAATTTTGCTCACTACAAAAGCTTCCAAAAAGGCATAGCCTATGCAGAATCTCAGTCTTACAAAGGAAAATGTTGATGCCATGTTATCAGAGGGTGTTGTTATATGTGGCACCCCCAATAATTAGAACATAGGACATATAATTATGGCAGCTCTGAGCTGTCTGGGTTGAGAGACACTTCAGAATTTAATTAGCCAAAGGCAATAATAATAAGATATAAGATGTAGTCAGTATCCTTCAAATGCTAGAAATTGAGCTGCCCTTAAAACAGGAAGGATTAAGGTAAAATACTGGCATGGTAGCATTGCACTGCAGAATAATGGCAATTTTAAAATCTAAGGTGATTTTAACATTATGATTGTTTTCAAATTATTGCAATTTTTGGCTGTCTGATTTCCTTGTTAACTCAGGGTGGGTAGGGACTGTCCCTCTCTTGTTCATGCTGTGCCTGGCATCTGAAGTAACATTCAGTAAATCTTTTTGAATGGATGAAGGATGAAGGCAATGAACAGATTTAATTCATCTATATCAGGGCTTGAAAAGTAGCTTATTGCCTTTGTCATACAGGCATGGGGGGGGGTGTGTGTGTTGTTTTTGTTTTTGTTTTTTTACCTTTAGTTTAAAAGAAAAAGATTTCAGTACCAATATTAAAAATGGGAAGATTTATATAAAACTCTGGATTTTTCTGTTTAATTGGAAAAACCAGAAGACATACGCCTGTAATCCCAGCACTTTTGGGAGGCCGAGGCGGGTGGATCACCTGAGGTCTAGAGTTCAAGACCAGCCTGACCAACACGGTGAAACCCCGTCTCTACCAAATTGCCGGGCGTGATGCTGCATGCCTGTAGTCCCAGCTACTCAGGAGGCTGAGGCAGGAGAATCGCTTGAACCCAGGAGGCGGAGGTTGCAGTGAGCCGAGATTGCGCCATTGCACTCCAGCCTGGGCAACAAGAGCAAAACTCTGTCTCAAAAAAAAAACAACAACAACAACCCAGAAGATATGTTAACACTGGGCTGGTCCTTCCTACTTGGCAACAATTGGCACAGAAGTTGCAGCCATTTGCTGTTGATGCGGAATGTCCTCTTCGGTGCCTACTCTGTCCACTTCACTTAGTTTCCGAGCCTGCCTGAACTCTGTGGTCATCCGGGTTTGGAATCTGGAAATTGTTAACTTTTTAAACTTTAAATTGCATCTTGTGCTCATGCATATCATATTTTAAATACAGAAAAATGATTAAAATTTTTTCAGGCATGTGCATTGTGTATCAAACTGATAATGTGTTTTAAAATCTTTTAGTTATCTACTTGCCCCATGACTTGTAAAATGAATTAGGCTGGGCGCTGGTTCATGTTGCTTTGTAGAAGGATTTCAACTTTACCTCTTACATGTTAGGACCCGTGTGGGTTTTTTTGTTTTGTTTTGTTTTTTGGCTTTTAGTTTTTAGGATTTGAGGCCCCCAATAAGTGCCGCATGGAACATTCACTAAAGCATAGACAGGCCAAAAGAAACAATCCTATTCCTTAGTTTTACTGTTTACAGTCTAGTTAGGAGACATTAAACACAGATGCAAGGTAAAAGCAGTCCAAGCGCAGAGATGCAAATACTTGTGTTTATATTCTTTTTTACAGTTTCCAAGAATTGAGTCTTTAAGTATTTATTGAAAGAGTTGTTTTTAAGGGTAAACTTTTCCTGGTATTACCTAGATGAGGAATTTTTATTTAAAGCATTTATGTATGTATGTATGTAAGTATTTAAGACAGGGTCTCCTTATGTTGCCCAGGCTGGTCTTGAACTCCTGGGCTCAGAGGATCCTCCTGCCATGGCTTCCAAAAGTGCTGGGATTACAGGTGTGAGCCACTATGCCCGGCCATAAAGCATTTCCATATTAACTTTTAAAGACATAAGATTAAATTGGATAGATTTCCAAACTCTGATTTCTCCTTTTCTTGTTTTGAAAATGTGTATTTGTCATGTTGAATGTGATGTGATAGCTACTGATGTATCTCATAGTACAGTAAAAGTAGTCTATAAACACAGGAAGAAAAGATGAGACACTTCTGCATCCAGAATGTGTTAAGACGAGACACTTCTGCATCCAGAATATGTTTGCACATAATCGTTTTCATGTAGGCAGACTCTTTTCTTTTTTAGTCCAAATGATTGATTTAAACATATGACTATATAAAATATATGCGTTACACTCCAAACATGACAGTAGTAAGCAAGCTGCGTAAAATTCGTAACATTAATCTCCAAGTTCCAAATGCAGATACTCATTCTCGTTCTTTTTTTTTTTCTCTCTCCTACATTTCCAAATGCAAAAATAAACAGCCTGCCAAGGAGCCAGTTGCTGAAGTGCTGTAGTGTTTTATCTAGGTAATCTTGGATTTAGCTGCCTTTAGATTATATTTGTTCCCTCATTTAAATTGGCATTGGCCAGAACTAGATGCCTCTTAGTCATTTTCTGGTCAGCTTTAATGTTACAATAACTTGAAGCTAGACATGGTGGGTCCCCAGAAGAAACATTATGCATGTGCTGCTTTAGTGTTAATGCCTACATTGGTATTTCTTCCCTGCCCTGGGCCTTTTTCCTTAACAGGTGACCATCAGATCAGATCATCTGTTGAGAGGGAATGTGTTTTACCTGAGCAGCAGGTGTGTTCAGCACTTTGATGAACAAGAATAATTTGGCCCTCCCTTCCTGGGTCTTCTCTTTCCTGCCCCTTCCTTGCTCCTTACAGCATAGTAGACAAGCATTTGAATAAAATGGACAGTCTGCATTTAGCAAATTACCCTTCCAAGGGCTTCTGCTTTGCAAATAATTGGGCAGTTAAGTGGAGACAGCAAAGATCCAGAGGTAATTGTGGTCTAGTTTTGGGTGCAGGTTGACTAGAAAGTATATCAGTAAACTTGTTACTAAGGTTCCATTTCTGTTGTTTAAAAAAATGCAAATCAGTTCTTGTTAGCCACACCTTAGATTTGAAGGGACATGGACTTGTGTTATTGACCAATTATGTTACATGACTTTTAGTTTTCAGGAAGGGTCATTAATATGTTTTGTTTTTGAGACTCACTCTGTTCCCCAGGCTGTAGTACAGTGATACAGTCCCAGCTCACTGCAGCCTCAACCTTCTGGGCTCAAGCTATCCTCTCACCTCAGCCTCCTGAGTAGCTGGGACTATAGGCATGCACCAGCATGGCCTGGCTACTTATTTTTATTTTTTGTAGAGATAGTCCCCTTATGTTGCCCAAGCTGGTCTCAAACTCCTGGTTTCAAGCCATCGTCCTGCCTAGACCTCCCAAAATGTGGGATTACACAGGTGTGACCCTCTGTGCCAGGCCTTAACCAAACCTTTTGTTGTTGTTGTTATATTCATGCAATCAGAAGTTGATAATTTTTTTTTTTTGAGTTGGGGTCTCATCTTGTCACCCAGGCTGGAATATGGTAAAATGTTTTTGTGTTTTCTAAGCAGTAGTCAGAAACATTAATCACTGAGCATGTTACTGTCTCAGAAGTTTCTTTGGTCTTTATATTGGAGTGTTGAGTTGTCATTCTAGTTCAAGGGAGAAGCTGTGACATACAGAAGGATGTGCTTTAATTAATGATGTTGTTTGGTAGTTAAATAGGCCACAGTAATGCAGCTAATTTTTAATTTTTGTTTTATATTGCCAGAATGGATCTGTTTAGAACCCATTTAAACTCTTATCACCTTGGCAAAAAAGTCACATGGAAAACATCTATATAGAATGGCTATTTCTTTATAATTTACTTGATGGCTTTAGTTATGACTGAATGTAAAACTATAATATAAAATATTAATAAGAATTACAAATGAATGGCATCCATATTTTTCTCTTAGGGTTTGTGATAGGAAATCAGATACTAGGTTTATCTATATGAATAATATCTGTCTGTTTTCAGGACACAGGGAATCAATTGATGGTGGAGTTGGGTGTTAGGAGACATTATCCTTTCATAGATCGGTGTCCACATCCAGCTTACTTCCCACGGTCTCTTGCTTTCTCATTTTTAAAGTGGTTTACTCGGGATGAGAGTGCTCCTACTTTTTATTGACTACTTCTGCACACTTGGAACTTTTTTTTTTCTCTCTAGATGAAGTCTTGCTCTGTCGCCCAGGCTGGAGTGCAATGGCGCGATCTCAGCTCACTGCAACCTCTGCCTCCCTGGTTCAAGCAATTCTCCTGCCTGAGCCTCCCAAGTAGCTGGGATTACAGGCACCCACTACCACACCCTGTGAATTTTTAAATTTTTAGTAGAGATGAGGTTTCAACACATTGGCCAGTCTGGTCTCGAAGTCCCAGCCTCAAGTGATCTTCCCGCCTTGGCCTCCCAAAGTGCTGGGATTTCGGGCGTGAGCCACCACGCCTGGGCCAATCTTGGAACTTTAAAGAGCCTCCATTAACAAGGCAGAAAGATAAGTGTCACACCAGGTGTGAATGCTGTCTTTGGAGGGGGACAGTGACTCATTTTCTAACAATTACTCTTAAACCTAGAGGGAAATGTAGGACAAAAGATGCTGTAAGGTTGACTCTTCCAGAGATTTCCATACCTTAGCAATCTAAAAACTGTATGAAAGGTCAGAGTTAGGACTTTGAAAGAATGCTAAGTGTTAATTTTTGGCATTTACCTCAAACTTAAGTGCTACTTTGGAAGCCTGCTGATTACTAGAATGCTTTTAGTCTCAATCCAATCTCAACTTTTACTTGAGTGGTTATCTGTGGACACTAAGTTAAAATTGTTGGAAACAGTGGCTTTTAATGGATATTTTTATCTCTTTCTTCCTGCCGAGGTGGAGGGAAGGATTAGTGACTATTGGGGAGGGCTTACGAGGTGCTGGGGCTGGTGCTGAGCCCTTACACACATTATTTCATCCAGTAATTACACACGCTGTAAGGCGGCAGTCATCTTTATAGACAAAACCCGAGGCGAGAAAGGTTGAGTATTTGCAACTGGCAAATCACAGAGCTGGAATTTGAACCCACTTATCTCCTCTTCCAAAACTCAGATCCTACCTTCTGGGAAAGGTGGAGCTGCCTGGCTTGGACTCACCTCTCTTAGTCTTGTTCAGGTAAACAGCTGGGGAGCGAGATGGCACTTGGTTTTTGCACAGTAGTAAATTGTAAACTTTATAGAGGCCATTCCTCTTCATTATCTTACATGATCTCCACATTAACTCCAGAAGGTGGCAGTGCCTCTGGCTCCCCAGCTTCTGAAAATTGAGGACTAAGCAGCAGTGGTAGTGTCGGAAGGCCTGGAGGTCAGGCTTGTGTTTGCAAAAGGAGCTGGGAGTGAAATCTTCCGAAGCCCCAGTCCGGGTCACAGCAGCGGCTCCCTTTTTTCCTTAGGGAATGGTTCTTTTCTTGAGATTGGCAGTAGGAGGGCTGCTCCCTCCCGGGTCAGCAGTTGCTGAGAGATGGTGGTGGCCAGAGAAGGGTAGTAGACGGTAGTAGTAGGTAGAGATAGTAGAGGTAGTAGAGGTTCCTCCCCCGTGGGAGTCTCACCCTGGAGTTAGGAGAGGGCCTTTTGCCTACCTTTTCTTCCCAAACCCCGTCCTTCATTTCCATTAAAAAATTGCATCACCCTAGATGCAGCTTTGAGACTAAAGAAATTTAAAACCTTGTAAGATTTGAACACATTAGGTGGTTTTTCATTCTGAGTTTACAGAGTAATGCCAGAATAAAAGAAACAAAGTGTATCCTTCAAAAGGAAAGAAAATGGCCACTTCGCGTCACAGGTATTTCTTAAATCTCTCGCTTCTACTTTTCCTGTTTTCTAAGGGGAATACAGAATTAAGTGTCACGCAGATTTTTACTATGAGCAGTGATACCGTACCGGGTTGCTCATGAGTTCCTCGTTTTCTTTGTTTTAGGTTGATGAAGGACTGCTTGGACTTTGACTCTCCTGAAGATGTTAATTATATGTTTCAAAAATCATGTGTTCTGCTAAAAATCACTTATGCATAGCCTTGGAAAAAGAACTGGAGGCAGGGAGTTGCTTCAGGGTGCAGAATATCGTTTTGGAGGCCTTGGGAAATAAATCTTGAGTTAGTTCATTTACCACCAAGACATATTTAGTCACTGTATATAAACAAAAGAAGTCACAGTGTGCCTGGACATTATTTGTCCCAGATGGAGTTTCAACTTGGCTCATTATACTGCACTGATGTCATGGTACATAAACTGGCTCCGAATTCAACGTGCATAGAATCGGCTGTGTGCTTGTATGTGCTGAGGGTGTGCGGGAGGAGGGGCGGGGCTGGCTGGAAAATCTTTGTCACATTTTTCCTTTGCTCTCTGTAGAGGCTAGTGTCAGTCTTGAATTTGGACTTGGTGCAGAATGAGAGAAGAATTGGAATAATCTGTTCATGTGTACAAGTCAGTGTGTGTATGTCCTCAAAGCTGTAGTTCTTCCAAGACCAAGAATCTAAGTGTGCCTGGCTTTCCAACAGTTGCTTAACAAAGCTCTAGTAACTCAAATCTAGAAAGGAAAATCTTAAAAGCATTACATTTTAAAAGAGCATTTTTAGTGTGTTTGCCTTGAAGTCTTAAATCTGGACAGCTTCTTTCAACTTTGTAATGGTCTTAAGTATCCAGCTGTAAAATTCTGTTTTCCTGGATTGTATGGTGGACAACGTCTCAAACTAGTTGCTTAAAAGTATATAAAAAGGTGGCCGAATTTAATTCTTCCTGTGTGCTTTGAGAGGGCAGCTTGTGGGTCAGAAAACTGAGCCGGAGAGGGTCCTTTCCTGGACTTCTGAGCCCTTAATAGGAAATTTCCACATACTGTGGTGTTACTTTATTACTTTTTATTGCTGGCTTTTGTTATGATAATCTTAATTAGAAGCATTTCCAAGTAATTCAAACCATTTTGTAGATGTAAAGGGCTTAGATTTCAGAACTTCTGTGAATGGATTCCTATAGGAGTCACTCTTGTTGCCGGGACACACAGAAGCTGAGCAGACACTGGAATGTGAATGCATTGGGAGGTGAGCCCTTAAGGAGAGCCCAAATGTTTACCAAAGAGAAAATCTGGTCAGAGGTGAGAAGTGGCTGGTTTTAGATTTTATCGAGAGCATGAAACATGGCAGATTTGGTAAAAAATTTTTCTTGAGACTGTAATTTTACTTAACTGAGAGACTTGTTACTGGTAGGAATTTGAAGAAAAAGAAGTTGGGGGTAGAAGGCTCTGCTTCAGGGAGGAACACATATTTCCTAGAAGAGAACTTGTCCTGCCTTTGGGGATGTTCCTTTGACCCAGTTAACTGCATTCTCTTATTTTAGCAGTCTTGTTGAATTATCTCTGTATTGAATTGACATGGTGAAACCACGCCTAGTAGAGGGGAGAAGTGGTGGTGTGGACTAGACGAGTATACATTTTGGTCAGACATGGCTGGATTCCAGTCACTTTGTAGTTTTGTGACCTTGGAAAAGTTGCTTGTCTTCTTCAAGCCTCAGTTTCCCCACTTGTAAAATCTAGTTACTATCTACCTGGCAGATGACAGGGATTCAATAAGTAGTAGCTGTTTCTTAATCATTGTAGAAAAAAAACCTGGAAAAAGGAGTTGATAAAGTACCCTGCATCATGCCAAATTAATCTTACAGACACATGTGATATTGAGGATACAGCTTTTTTTTAAACAAAGAACAGCACATTTTTATTTTTAAGTTTTATTTATTATTATTTTGAGACAGTCTCACTGTGTTGCCCAGGCTGGAGTGCCATGGCAACTGCTGCCTCCCGAGTTCAAGCGATTCTCATGCCTCAGCCTCCAGAGTAGCTGAGACTACAGGCACCCACCATTACCCCCGGCTAATTTTTGTATTTTTAGTAGAGACAGGGTGTTGGTCAGGCTGGTCTCTAACTCCTGATGTCAAGTGATCCATCTGCCTCAGCTTCCCAAAGTGCTGGGATTATAGGCGTGAGCCACCACACCCGGCCGAGGATACAGCTTTTGAACCTTCTATTCTTTGAAGAAAACAGTATTAAAACTTTTGGAGTAGTGGATATTCTTGCTCCTTATTTTGCATAGTAAGAGTCCTAAAGCCCAGGAAAACATATTTGCCATGTATCCTACGGGTTGTGTTGAGCAAGGGGAGCTTCACCTACAATGTGTACCCTTGGACCTTGAGTTCCCAGTGTTTGCTTAGGTCCCCTTGGAGGCTTCCTGTTATTGTATATTATTTTTCAATCAGCTTTGGATTCAGGCTTCAGGTAGGGCAGTGAGCAAAATGAGGCAATGGACACATTCACATCTTCTTCCAGGATCTTTCTAGTTTACTTGCTTATGTTTTTAATCCTGGGACATTTTCTTTGCATGTGTTATTACCACAAAGATAAATATTTGGCATTCGCACCCCATCGCTTCCCTTTTCCTGATTTGGAGAAAAGAGGGGGCTCAAAACACAAATACTGCTTACTTTTCAGTTTTGCCTGAGGCCAGCTGTGTTCTATGGCACACAGACTGGGGTCTCAAAGGTGTGTGTGGATGAACAGTTTGGGTATGGGGGCCTGGGAAGAGCTTGGAGATTGGGAATCTTGGGGGTGGGGCTGGGGAGTGGGGAGTTGGGAGTATGTGTGACCAGAAAATAGTAGCATGAGGAATAGGTGGTAGTACTCTTCTCATGTAGTCAAAGGTCACTTTTGAAGTTATTAGGTATTCCTGGCTAGAATCCTTAGTTGCGTGGAACTCCTCTGCAGCTTTTAGATTGTATCATTTTCCCCCTTAAAGATACCTGTTGGATAATCATAAATGTGGGCTCCAAGGGAGAAGTATTCATTTATACATGAAAACAAGCTACACAAAGTGTGGCCAGTGGAAAAAACTCTAGAAGTGAAATGGGATCTCCTCTCTGGTATGGTTTATATCTTGATTGTCTGAGGGTTGGATTTAACGCTTAAAAATGCTGCAAGTGTACTATTTTGTCTTTGGTCAGTTGGTACTCTTCTCCCAGGAGGAGCTTTTTTTTGGGAGACAGTCTTGCTCTGTTGTCCGGGCTGGAGTGCAGTTGGCACCGTCACGGTTTGCTACAGCCTCGACCTCCTGGGCTCACGCGATCCTCCTGCCTCACCCTCCTGAGTTGCTAGAACTACAGGAATGCACCACCATGTCCGGCTAATTTTTACAATTATTTTTGTAGATATGGAGTCTCACTATGTTGCTGGGGTTGGTCTGGAACTCCTGGTCTCAAGTGATTCTCCCCGTCTCAGCCTCCCAAAGCACTGGAATTACAGGCATGAGCCTCTGTACCTGGCCAGAAGCTTTTTTGATGGACTGATCCATTACCCTGATTGCTTATTTGAGTGACTGGTAATTTTTTTATTTGAGGCATAAATTAGACATTTGCCTCCAGGAGTAGTCTTAGATACTATTGGCACCTGGTTAATCAGCCACCCAAGGTTTAAATTGCAAAAGTAGCCTCCCTTTTCCTCTTTTAATGAGTATAAAACAGAGTTAGGTTTAGATTTATACCTGTAAAGGAAAGATATTACACCTTCTTTCAGTTCTCCTGTTAGACAAAGAATTCCCATGATGCTGTGTTTACTCAATTGTATTAATTGCAACTCTTGTTTTATTGTTTCTCTGGACTTTGGAAGAGTGGTCACTTATTTTTCATTAAACTTTGATAAACTGCCTTCTGTTTATTTCCAGCTTCTTGGTTCATGTAACACTAACGGTTTTGAAACAGATCTGATGAAGCAATAGTAGCTTAGAGGATGCTCCCATGATTTGATTAGCATGGTTCTTCTTAAGATCTCTGGAGAAAAAAAATATCTAGTTAAAATCTTTGTCTTTTTTTTCTTCCTCTGAAGACATGGTGCAGTATGAATCAGTTTAATGCTGACTTTGGAAAAGTAGGAAATGCTTAGTGAGTAGACAAAAAATGATGTGGTTTGGACAGCGATGTTCTGTATCGCATTTTATATTAAGGAGGACTTGTAGCAGTTATTATATTTCTGCTTTGTGGTTGGGGAGAGGGAGGGAGGGAGGGGGAGAGAGAGAAATTGCCCAACTTGTATGATAGGAAAGGTTAAGTGCCGGGAGTTGGCCAGGTTGTGACTCATGCTCCTCGGGGCTGCGTGATGCAAGACCTTTTGCCGCCAGCTCATTCATGTCTGCTGTCAGGACCGGTCATTGGGCTGGTGTGTGTCAAACTTATTTTTATCTCTGCTTTATTGACAATGAAAACAGCTAGGTGGTCAGCCTCCCTCAGTATAATAAAATGCTTTCTTTTAAAATACCTCAGTGCCAAGATGAATATGGTTTGTTTAAATAATGACTTCTGCTCTACTGAGAAAAATTGATATTGGGACACAGGAGACTTGCCTGGTTTCTGAGGTAACTTGGTAGATTATAATCTGGTTGCTATGGCTACTCAGCAGCAGTGAAAATTACATGAACTAAACATTTGAAGGGAGGTATTTTCGTCGGATGCTTAAAAGCCCGTTACCTATCATCTTTCTCCCTGAAGAAGTGGGATGGGGGTCAGGAATTGAACTCAGTAAGCAGGGGGGGAAGGTATAAGTGGACCTTAGAGGCTGGATGCCTCTGCGTCGTTCTTTGAAGTTTGGCCTGGTGTCAGTGACCACTGAGGAACTGTTACAGACACTTTTTGTGCAATATGATAAGCAGATAATGTGACGACAGTCCGGACATGTCCCAATTCAGAAATCCGTTTTCTTGCCTGGGACTTTCCGTAATACTGGTGAATTGTATTTTCTGAACCGGTATTCAGGGCACATTGTCTGACAATTATGAGCGTGGTAGAAGAGAGTATATGAATTTGGGATTGTCAGAGAAAATCTAGGACATAGAGTCTTGGCATCCATTGGTTCCCCCCTCCCCCAGCTAATTAATTCCATGGGCATATATTACAGTTCTATCCCTAGAGCTTTAAACACAAAGCAAATGGTTTTTGCTTTATTACAGTGATGCTAGAATTGGTCTAAGGACCTTTAAAAAGACATGGATAATTGTCTGTATTGAAGTGTGATTTTCTTCCATTGTAGTTTTTATATTGTATATTTATGTAAAAATAAATGATTTTCATGTTAAAGAAATGACTTTAAAAGCTCCTTTTCAAGAAAACAAATATTTGGCCCGGCGCAGTGGCTCACGCCTGTAATCCCAGCACTTTGGGAGGCCGAGACGGACGGATCACCTGAGGTCAGGAGTTCGAGACCAGCTTCAACATGGAGAAACCCCATCTCTACTAAAAATACAAAATTAGCCAGGCGTGGTGGTGCAGGCCTGTAATCCCAGCTACTGGGGAGGCTGAGGCAGGCGAATTGCTTGAACCTGGGAGGCGGAGGTTGCAGTGAGCTGAGATCGCGCCATTGCACTCCATCCTGGGCAACAAGAGCGAAACTCCGTCTCAAGAAAAAAAAAAAAAAACCAAATATTTTAATCATTCTAGAGATCTTGAAGGAATTTCCTTTTGAGTTTTTGAAACAGTACAGTGTGCTTACATTGGTGATAATTTAAATACTGAAAACTCAAAGATTATCTACAGTTATTATATAGGAAAAATAAATTGCCTTGAAATAACTGTCATAATTCAAGATAATGAGAAGCACCAAGGGTGAAGCTTAGTCTGAGTTTCCCTGAATGATCCTGTTTTTTCCAGGTAATGTATTTTCTGATTTAAAAAAATTTAGTATTCCAGCAGTATCATCTGGATGAATTATTAGAAGAGGCAAAATACATGGATATTAAAGATTGAGTATTTAAAGATGAAATGGTTTTGATTTCAAAAGTTTTACAAAACAAATTATAGTGTATACAGTAAATAAAGTTGACTTTTAAATTGCATCTTATGAAAGCTTAATTTCTAAGCTGAGATAATTATTTGCAATAGTTTTTTTTTTAATGTTTTATGACTTTCATTCATTCAGTGAAAGTAGTTATTGAGCACATAACTTATTCTATGCCAGGCATGGGGCTAGATAGCTGGATGTTATCCTTATCATGCCTAGATTAAAGAAGGAAAGGCAGACACTAACATAATTGCTTAGTTAATTGATTGCAGTTGTAAATTCTAGGAAGAAGTAGTAGAGCGGGTATTTTTGTTTGATTTAGAACACATAGTGGGGGACTTGACCTGTCCTGGGAGTCAAAACACTGTTATCACAAGCTGAGAAGGATGAATAGACGTTGGTTGAGGATGGAGGAAGGTAGGTGGTAAGCTAAGATGAAGGAGTACAGGAAGAGTATCACAGACAGAGGAAACAGTATGCTTGACAGTTTCAAGCCAGGGAGGAACAGGGCTTGTTCCGATAACTGTAGGATGAATGTGACACTGACATCCTGTCAATTTCTAGAAATTATATGGTGATTTTTAAAATAGTGTTAGCCTTGTACATGGTGGTTTTTAACTATAGTTTTTGTGGTGGTGGTGGTTGTTTTTGAGATGGAGTCTTGCTCTGTCACCTAGGCTGGAGTGCAGTGGTGTGATCTAGGCTTGCCACAACTTCCGCCTCCTGGGTTCAAGCCATTTTCTTTTCTCAGCCTTCCAAGTAGCTGGGATTATAGGCACCTGCCACCACGCCTGGTTAATTTTTGTATTTTTAGTAGAGACCAGGTTTCACCCAGGTTGGTCTTGAACTCCTGACCTCAAGTGATCCACCTGCCTCAGCCTCCCAAAGTGCTGGGATTACAGGCGTGAGCCACCGTGCCCAGCCTAACTATAGTTTTTTAAGTTGTATTATGTCTTTTAACTTGTATTTAGATATCAATTAGTGATTTTTTTCCTTTGATTATCCTTTGATTAGAACTATTAATAAAACTATAAGGCTGTTGACAGAACGTACTTTGCTATTACCACTCATGGTCTAGTCTTGGAAGTTGTCTAATATTAAATATTTATGTTCATATAAGTAAAACATTGACTTTAAACATTTGGGTATTTGGCGGGGCCTATTTATAATATTTATTTAATACTGTTCATTATTGTCTTAAGATCCTGTACACAGATAATTCTTTTTATAAAAATTTTTCTTGTAAATATTTTTTGTTGTCACACAATAGAATCATATAACCAGATCAGTAATAGACACTTGGGAACAGTATGCAGCACTGTTAGGTCAAAACCTCATTGCTAGATGCAGCTTTCTTCTGTAAGTATGGTTTCTGGTGTTTTTTCTTCTGTAATTGTAGTTTCTAAATTTGTGAAAGCGAAAAGGGAATTGTGCTTTTCAAAGAAAAGTTTTCTTCAAATGGAGTTTTTAAAGTTAGATAGCATCATAAGCAACACAGGAGAATTCACTTAGCTAAATTTGAATGCATGTACTCCTCCTACCCCCATGCCCCCAATTAAGACTTATACTCCAAGTTTTGTGTTTATAAAAGATTTTATGCCACATGCTTCCTGTCTAGTATATAAATTTAGGTAATAACACTTAACAAATCCCAGAGGTTCCAGTATTAAACTGAAATTAATGTGTTGTTTTGGCAGGTTATTCTCGTTCAAGTTAATCCAGGTGAGACTTTCACAATAAGAGCAGAGGATGGAACACTTCAGTGCATTCAAGGTAAGGACATTTTTGGTAAATATTCTAATCAAAGATTTTTTTCTTTATTTGAAGGAAGTAATGTTTTTCTGTGTGTGTCTGCATGTAATTTTCTAGAAGTAAAGTATATCTTGGATATTCATTTTCTTTTTTTTTCTGTCGCATGGTCTCAAATATATATTATGATGTTATCCAAAGGACATTTTTAGTGGTAAAATCTGTATTGGGTATCTGTTGGTTAGTTATTGCTAAGTAACAAATTACTCCAAAATTTGGTGGCTTATAACAACATTTATTAACTCACAGGGGGCTAATGGTAGGAAGTTTTCTACAGTTAGTTGTTAAGTGGGCCTCTCCATGGAGAAGTGGAGGGAGCTTATGTTACCGCAGCTGGCTTCAGAGCCAATAACTAGAGGGCAAGAGGGAGCTAGTAGGTCCAGCCCAGACTCAAGAGAAGAAATTATGAAAGGGCGTGAATACCAAGAGGCAGGTCATTGGGGGCCATCTCAGAGGCTGCCCAACACAGGCTACTCTTTGGCCCCCGATGATTCATGTTCCTTCCAAATGCAAAATGCCCCGTCCCAAGATCTCCAAAAGTCTTATCCCATTATAGGATTAGCTCAGAGTTCAGAACCTTATCATCTAAAGTTCCAGGTGTAGGTAAGGCTTTTGGGTGTAGTTATTTTATTACAGCTCCTAGCACACTTCTAGTGTGTATACTAATGCCTCTTCTGTATAGTTCACTTGGAAATAAATGATGTAGGTACTTTGATCCATATGGAGTTCTGTGTAGGAAGATCAACCTAGATCTGATGTTAGCTGGTAAACACTGTAGTGTTAAAAGGCACTGTTTATGATAGCTCTTTTTGACAGTGACTGGGATTATGGGGCAAATGGTAAATGGCATGCAATTGAGATCAGTATTAGGTTATTAATTGAACTGGAATCTAATCTGAGGCTTTACTATTAATACCTGAACTTGCTTACCAATATACAAACAAACTGGGGGAAATGCCCTTTAGTTTCGGTTTCCCATAATAAGCTGTATAGAAACAGTTTTTTTTTTCCTTGCGTAATAGTAGAGCATGTTGCTTTGTACTTTTTTTTTGTATCTATAAGAACAAAAACTTAGAAAATATTTCTTGAGAAATGAGTATATTTTTAAAGATTCAAGGCTAATGAGTTTTAATTGAAGTTAATATGAAATTATTTAATCACTTTTATTAATGATTTCTACTCTGCATTTCTCTGTTGTGTCCCAGAAATTGATCTTTGGAATTCTAAATCATTTAAAATCAAAACCTAGTCTTAGTCGATGCACAATATGGGGAAACTTCAGGTCAAGGAAGAGAAGAAATATTTTTAAATAGTATGGACTATAGAGTCTTTCACCTATTTGTAGTACTATAATAAACAGATACCGTGAACAATTAAAACCTCAGAATCCTACAACCCTGTATCTTAAAAAAAAAAAAAAAATCACACTAGAAAAACTAGATGAAAGTCACCTATATGGGATGAAGCTGAAGTTTCCAGTTCAGTAAGAAAGCAATTAAGCCTCTGGTTATGGTAACATTGGCACCCCATTAATTGGCTAGTACATAATGTCCCTCTACAACTGAGTGTGTGTAATAGAATCTATAAAAGCAAATCACTTAGTGGATGAACATGCATTAAAATCTCTTTCATTCCACCTAAGTTTACTTTTTGGTGTCTAAGGAGTGTGTGTATGTGTGTGTGTGTGTGTATATATGTGTTTTTTGTGTGTATATATGTATGTAATTTCACTGAGTTGGCCGCTCCCCCACTTTTTTCTTTTTTTAATCCATGTTATAACTGGTGCACTTTGCAGGAAATGTTGCAAGTATATTGCTCTCTTCACAAAGGGAGCTTTGTATTTATTCATGATGATACTTGGAGATAAGTGACACTAACACTCCTAACAGTGATTTCAAAAATGCCTTTGACCAAAACAGAATTGTGGAGCCATTATCTTTGGCTCCCTCCAGGCTTCCTATTCTTTGTTCTCTTCTGAAGTCTCAGATACTATGGTTATCTTCATTTTGGGGAGTGGTGGTACCTGGCCCAATTAACTGAAATGACACAGGATGGAATGAGGACTAGGACCTGGATCCAGGTGCTTTACTAGGGTTTCGGAAGCACTGGGGCAATAGGATGAACTGCAGAAACTGGAAGGAAAGTCAGCCCAGCAGGCTGAACCCCAAATTCAGACTCATTGACTGCCACTAATGTATAAAAGGCAGTCACTCAGGCAAAAAATAAGAAACCCTTTATATGAGTCCCAGTATGAGTTCGTGAATACTTCATTCCAGTTGGGTAGAATATAGCAACATAAAATGTGGCAATAGGCAGTGTATTTGTAAATTCCAACACAAGTTGCTGTGTCATCCTCACAGTCCCAGTGATTAACATCATCTCTACCATTGCTAACATTTATTCATCTCAGGCTGTGCTATGCATTCTTTCCTTTAGTGAGTGTGTAGTTACACATAAGGAAGCTGAGGCCTGTCGAAAAGTCACAAAGCTAGAAAGAGGCAGAGTTGAGTTTTCTTCCCTGCTATGTCTGATGCCCTCAGTTCCTTGTTCTGTGCCTTTATGTCAGGGAGGACTCCATTCTCTTGACAACAGCAAGGTTAAGTTCCTGTTCCTGGAGTAACAGGATTCTGAGCTGGATAGCAGGATGACTACTTAGATACCCAGAATGAGACAGATGGTTTGCAGAACAAAAGTGGTTGGTGGAGACTGAGTCTTGGGAATAAGCTAGGGGCGAGCACTTTGTTAATGAAGTGAGATCTACTGGTTGAGCAGTGACTAGCAGACAGTGTGATGCAGGGAGTATTGGTTTAGAACTCATTAAATTATTTCTGCCCCAAATCAGGTTTGAGTTCAGATTTGGGGTGGCTCAGCTTCCAGGTGGGGCTTCCAGCTCCAGCTCCAGCTGTTGTTGATTGGGGCCAGGGAGGGCTCCAGCTCCAGGACAATGGGAGAGGACTTGTAGGTACAGTGGGAGGCAGTTCTTTGTCATTTAAAAACCTATTAGGAAGGAATCTGAAAATGGTCACATTGTAATGGAAATTTCTGAAAGAAATATTTGTATTTTGTTAGGGATTTAAGAGATCAAAACTCTACTTATGTTCTTTGAACACTGGCCAACAGGCGGGAGTGTTTTTGTTTTGTTTGTTTTTTGTTTTGAGATGGAGTCTCACTCTGTCGCCCAGGCTGGAGTGCAGTGGCACAATCTCGGCTCACTGCAACCACCGCCTCCCGGGTTCAAGCGACTCTCCTGCCTAAGCCTCCTGAGTAGCTGGGACTACAGGCACACGCCACCACACCTGTCTAATTTTTTTGTATTTTTAGCAGTGACAGGATTTCACTGTGTTAACCAGGATGGTCTCGATCTCCTGACCTCAGCCTTCCAAAGTGCTGGGATTACAGGCATGAGCCACCACATCCGGCGGTGTTTTTCTAAATTGAGGGGAAGGTGATGGGTGGTGGTGGCCTTCCTGGAAATTTTGAAGTCATACCCATTGATTATGCCGTGGTTGAAACTGTCAGCCTAATAACTTTGCTATTTTAACACCAGCCTTCAGATTAGGGACTGCTTTGTGGGGATTTCAGGTAGGGAATGGAGTTGGTTGCTGGGCCTTCCTGGAAACTTTGAAATCACATTGTATGAGGTCAGTCCTCTTTACTTGTAACTGAATTTATTAGCCTGATAATTTTATCTGTAGGACATTTGTGACACCACTAGAAAGACCTCAGAAGCTCATTGTGATCTCATTAAAAGGCAGCTTGGAAGTTGAAAGCAAATTAATACAGAAGAATATGGGCTGAGTAGGGAAGCTCACACCTATAATCCCAGCACTTTGGGAGGCCAAGGCAGAAGATTGCTTGAGGCCAGGAGTTAAAGACTAGCCTGGGCAACATAGTGAGACCCATCTCTACCAAAGAAAGAAAAAATTAGTCAGGTGTGGTGGTGCATGCCTGTAGTCCCAGCTGCTCAGAAGGCTGAGGTGGGAGGATCACTTGAGCACAGGAGTTTGAGGCTGCAGTGAGCTATGGTTGCACCACTGCACTCTATCCTGAGACCCCGTCTATTAAAAAAGAAAAAAAAATGTGTTTTTATGGGAATGTCCTTGGTGATAAGGAAGAAAACACAGGAAGCATACAATATGCTGTGAACGCAGATTCATTTCTAATGGAATATTTCTCAATATTTCCCATGAAACATGAATCATAGGTCTTGAAGGGGCCAAAAAAGGTCATAGTTTATTCTCACTTGGGGTTAGCCTATACCTATGGCATCCTAGACAAAGGATTTATTTTCTCTTGGCCAGATCAAAGTGTATAAAGAGCTAATTGTTAGGAAAAAAGAATCTTAGCAATCAGTATGAATTTTGCCTTTGCTTCAGTTCAGGAATTAATAGAGGGCACACTTGGGTCTCTCCCATTATTTTCATATCTGTGTCTGGGCTGAGGTGCTGGCAATGCAGCCTTCCTTCCTGTCTACACATGCCATCTCTTTATCTGCTCCCTGTAAAATCCTCCAGCCAAAACAAACATCATGCTTCCTTTAAGACTTTAGGCCTCTTTCTTCCAAGAGCTCTCTCAGACCACTGCCTGACTTTTCCCTGAATTCTGGAGGAGCAGGTAGAGGTAGCACTACACAGTCTGGTTATATGCGTAAACCTTTCCTTAGCTCTCGAATTAGATGTGAATTCAGTTGTGACAGGAAACAGTGTATCTTCACCCTGCTCCCCAGCCACACAGCTTGAGAATAATTACTGACTGGATTCCTGAGTGGCTCTGGTATTACATTCAAGCATGATGATTTTTCTTTTAAATTTTACTCTTCTGATGGCAGTTTAAAGAGGTTTAGTTACGTGCTTATAGCAGTCTCTAAATCTCAATAGAAGAACTTTGAAATACTAGATTCCATTGATAATTGAAGTTAATGAGTTTCCTTTAGAGAAATATGTTTAAATTCTAAAGAACTTTTACAATGACCCTACATTATTAATACTGTAATTTTTTATTTAAGACTATTAGATATAAATTGTGAGGCTAAAGAAAATAGGTGAGTGTGATGGTGATAAAAAATACTGATTAAAGTAAAATTCTTAGGAAGCACCATTATGTTAGTAAACAGTAATATTTAAAGATACTTAATTGCTAATAGTTTTTGTCCAAAATAATTTAGGAATCTTTTACCATAGCAGTTAATCTGCTGACTTGTGTTAAGTGAATAGAGACCTCAAAATGACTAAATGACAACAGAATGCGTGCAGAGGGGAATTCTAAGAGGGCACTACTATGAGATGGCTGTAGCTTTGAAGCTATTCGAATGTGAAACTTTTTCCGCTCTTGCTTGTTCTCCATAAGACTTCTTCAGCTCTGTGTCTAATTCTCCCCCTGCCTCAGTGAGTGTGGGAACTGTATCGTTGATGAACATCATGCTCTGCCCAGTGGCTCTGTGAATGACACCATTGAGAGCTGTTCACCATTTCTGAATTTCCTCATTTGTCTCCCATCCCCCGCCCCTCCATGTATGAGTCAGCATCCAGAATGTCACAGGGACCTTAATGTTACTTGTTTTTCCTTATGTGATACTTTTGGGACCTTAACGTTGCTTTTTTTTCCTTATATGATACTTTAAGTGCATTTATTAGACTTGTTTGGCACACTAAAACACTGACCTGTCATTCTTTCTAAGAATTTTATGACAGGTCCTAGGGAATTTGGGTTGTCTCTTGCTTTGTTTAGTGTGAAATGACAAGAATGGTGTCATAGCTTGGTTTTGCAAACTGAGGTAGACTAAAACTTCAAAAGCAAAGCATGCATATGGTCTCTCCCTTTAATACATACTTTGCATATAAATGAGAAATTCCTGTTTTACTAGCTTAAAACCCAGGAAGAGGACCTGTTGCAAATGAAGCTTGCTTTCAAAGATTGTAGTGAATCTCTGTCTTGGCTGAAATTTGCAACCAGTTTTTTGATTAAAAATATTTGGGTGATTTGAAAGTAAAATTATTGTAACATGAATGCATTAAATTCTGAATCTTTGCCAACTTTTATTATATTGGATGAATTGTTATTTGACTATTTGTAAAATGTCTGTATTATAAATGGAAATGTTTCTTCCTATTACAAGATTAGGATTTTAGGAGCTTGTTTTCTACATAAGAAACTGCCTTGAAAACCATTTCTTTTTTTTTTTGTTTTTTGAGACAGGGTATCCTGTCTCAAAAACAAAGACCTGGCTCTGAGACAGACTTGCTCTGTCACCCAGGCTGAAGTGTAGTGGCACGATCAGATCATAGCTCGTTGCAGCCTTGACCTCCTGAGCTCAAGTGATCTTCCCACCTTGGCCTCCCAAATTGCTGGGATTACAGGCATGAGCCAGTGTGCCTGTCCGAAACCCATTTCTTTAGTATTTGGTGGATTTGTGAGGGATTGCTAACAAGCTGAAATGTTATTGTGAACACTTAGGCCTCACTTGGAAAATCTTCTAGAATTGAAAATAGCAAGTCATTTGCCAAGGCTAGCCCTAGTGTCATGGCCATCTTTCTTTCTGATTGATCCAAAGCTGTATATGGTGAGAGTTAATCCTCCCAGGAGGCTCTAAGCCAAGATAGTCTGAATTTCTAGGAAAATCTGAATTACTCTACCAACTCTCCAGCTTACCTTATGATACTTAAATGTTAGCTTCAAGACCAATCAGTCTTTTACCTGTGTGTGTCTGTACTACAAATATATATTTACGTGTGTGTATATATATTTGCTTCATTAGACGATTTTTCCATTTTCCATGATTGGATTTACATGAAATTTGGAGAAAGATTGAAGAAAAATTACTTTCAGCTTTGTGGAGTACTCTTGATCTCTGAAATGTTTGGGGGCTCTATTTTGCACATGACAGTTAGCAATTCCTCTCAACATGGACTGATGCACAGCTATTTGTTACAAGTAGACATTCCATACGCTGACCTGAGAAACCCTTTTACAGACAGCAGCTTGCTGCTGAGTAACTGGAAGTTTACCAGCAGGTGGTTTCCACCAGGGCCGGAAAATACTGACGGGCCCAGAGCAGAAAGTCCAGGTTATGGAAGGAATGAGAGCAAAGGCTGTGATTGTACGTGCAACTGTCATCTTGCTGGGATTGTGTAATGTCATGAGGCTGGGTTACGTCAATACCAAACTATGTTGCTTTCCTAGGAGGTTTTAAGTCCCTCTCAAGGGAGGTACTCAGGGTATATGCTGCTTCCTGCCTTTCTCCTTCTTCCTGTCTCAGTTATCTTGATTTTTATGTTTATTCTTATATTTACATAAGAACGGAATGTTAAACCCTTAGATAAAACTGTCACCCAATGTTGTGTCATCAGACTTAAGATGAATTGGTGTTGAGTTCTCAGAGTACAGCTCTGTAGTGTGAATCCCTGGTCATTTCGTAGCTAATGCTTAACCTGTTAGCCCCAATTTCCTCTCTTAAAATGGGAACAATGATAGTACCTATCTGATAGGATTGTGAGGATAATCCATTGTAAGTGTCATTATTCTTATCATCATTATCTAGTTGTATACACAGCTTTACTGATTTTTCCCCCCCCTAAATAGATGGCATGATTGTGGGCAATGACTTCATTTTCCTACTTGTAGAAATCAGTTGAAATTCTAGTCTCCCTTTCATTGCTTATTTATGATAGACTTGCTTTCATAGGGTTGCTGGTGATGGCACCAGTTCAAACATTTTAGATGAAGGTTTATAAGAATGTGTATACTGTTCAGATATGGGGTTATAGCTAAAACAATGGGTCCAGTGTTCCATGAATTTAAAGTAAATTTTGTTGTAGATTTTTAGTTGTTGGTTTTCTTTTGAATAACAGCCGTTCACTCTTGCACCACGCCTGAGCAGCTATATTCAGAGAAGGCTGTATCCTCTTATTTTATCCAACAAAGCAGTTTTTCTAATGTGCCTCCTTTTACATTTTCATTGAATTCCATACTTCTGGCTGGGCATAGTGGCTCACGCCTGTAATCCCGACACTTTGGGAGGCCAAGGTGGGGCAGATCACCTGAGGTCAGGAGTTTAAGTCCAGCCTGGCCAACATGGTGAAACCCCATCTCTATTTCCCCCTAAATACCAAAATACAAAAATTAGCTGGGCTTGGTGGTTGGCACCTGTAATCCCAGCTACTCAGGAGGCTTGAGACAGGAGGATCACTTGAACCTGGGAGATGGAGGTTGCAGTGAGCTGAGATCGTGCCATTGCACTCCAGCCTGGGAGACAGAGTGAGACTGCGTCTCAAAAAAAAAAAACTTGTTTCCATACTTGTTAAAATTTTTATTTAGTGCATTCTGTTTCTTAGGCAGTACCAAGAAGCAGTCAGGGCTATATATTGGGAAGATCATTATAGATTTTGGAGTGAGATTGCCTGGCTCAAAAATCCCCTGCACATTAGATGTATATTGTAAAATTAGTTCCTTAACTTCTCTACACCTCAGTTTCCTTATCTGTAGAGCTGGAATAGTAATTTCTCTCTGGAAGGATTGCTGTGATTAAATGAGTTATTGTGTACAGAGCACTAAGAACAATTTCTGAGTCATAGTAGGGGCCCAATAAATAGGAGTGATTACTAAGCTTTCGCTCTTTATTATGGGTGGGCATTGACCCCCCCTTCATTTTTTGTTAGCTAATCATTTTTAAAGCATTTCAGAAAGCCTATGCGAACTGGAGTTATTAGGATTTTTTAGATGTCTTCACGTTTAAATTCTAACACTTCAAAATAACATGTTTAAAAGTTATGCAATCGCAGTTTAACTCCTCAACCCTTCTGCCCTTTAGGCTTGTTAAACAATGATTAAAATGTCATCTCTGAAGGTACCACTGCTTAGAGTTCTTTAAATGTCACAGATCTTTGCATGTCAGATAATTCAGAAAAGCGAGCAGTGTCGCATTACCTCAGTGGTTGGCCACAGGCTATTTCACAGCTTGTAGTCTTTCAGTTCCTGCTTTATTCTTTCTGTATTTTTTACTCTTGTTCTTGCACTTCCAACCTGAAATAGAAAAGTTCATGTTACAAGTGTCTTTAAGGAAGACTGGATTAAGTTCTTCAAGGGCAAGGGTCAAAGCTTAGTCATCTTTGTATCCCAGAGCCTATCCTGCATGCAGGAGGCATTCAGACTGAAGGAAAGTCATTTCCTGATACTTGTCTTAGTCTGTCTGGGCTGCTATAACAAAAATACCAGAGACCGGGTGGCTTATTAACAACGGAAATCTATTTCCTACAGTTCTGGAGGCTGGGAAATCCAAGATCAAGATACTAGCTTCTTTGGTGTTTGAGGAAGGCCTGCTTTCTGGTTCATAGATGGCAGTTTCTCTCTGTGTCCTCACGTGGCTGAAAGGCCTAGGGGTCTTCTTGGGCCTCCTTTATAAGGACACTAATCCCTCATGAATGGGGATTAGTGTCCCTCATGATCCAGTCACCCCTTCTAGTACCACCCCTTCTAATACCATCACCTTTGGGGTTAGAATTTCAATGTATGAATTTGCGCTGGGGTAGGGGACACAAACATTCAGACAGTGATAGTACTGCTGAAGATAAAATGATGGAAAAATTCTCTTAGGTAATTTAGAGAAGTTATTTATTTTTGTTGTTCTGAAAAGGTAGTTAAATTTAGTTATTTTCACTCTTAGTTCCTCAATTTAAGATAATGAATACAGGCATGAGTGTGTTTCCAAAAACAGTAATTCTGAAAAAGTCCAATATATGGATTAGCTTCTCTTACCTGTAAAAATGCATGAGGGAATCATTATATTCATGCTTTTAATAACTTTATTTTGGGGGAGAATAGGATGGGAATACCTTAGAAAATGTTAGGCTATTTAATCCTTAAAGATACATCAACTTTTTCCCAAACTTTGTATTTATTTTTGTGTTATTAACAAATATTTTAGGTTACTCGTTAATTTTATTAATATTTTATGTTTTCTTGCTGTTGGAAATTATAGCGTTTATGTATAGTAATAAATTCTCGGTAAACTCTGTGTCAGACCCAGGAACAAATTATGCTTTAGTAAATGAGGGTTGGGGCGGTGGCTCATGCCTATAATCCCAGCACTTTGGGAGGCCGAGGCGGGCGGATCATGAGGTCAAGAGATTGAGACCATCCTGGCCAACATGGTGAAACCTTGTCTCAACTAAAAATACAAAAATTAGCTGGGCGTGGTGGCACACACCTGTAGTCCCAGCTACTCTGGAGGCTGAGGGAGGAGAATCGCTTGAACCTGGGAGGTGAAGGTTGCAGTGAGCCGAGATCGTGCCACTGCACTCCAGTCTGGTGACAGAGTGAGCCTCCATCTCAAAATAAATAAATAAATAAATAAATAAATAAATAAATAAATAAATAGTAAATGAGGCTCATTCGTGCTTGTCAGTGTTTGCATTGATGTAAAGAAATACTTGAGACTGTGTAGCTTATAAGGAAAAGAGGTTTAATTGGGTCATGGTTCTGCAGGATATATAGGAAGCTTGGTGCTGGGATCTGCTTCTCGTGAGGGCCTCAAAGAACTTACAATTATGACAGAAGACGAAGGGGAGCCAGCGTGTCACATGGCGAGAGGAGGAGTAAGAGAGAGAAGGGAGAGGTCCCAGACTCTTAAACAACCAGATCTCCTGTGCACTGAATGAGAACTCACTCATCACCATGGGGATGGTGCTAGGCCATTCCTGAGGGACCCATCCTCACAATCCAGTCACCTCCCAGCAGGCCCCACCTCCAACGTTGGGAGTCACATCTCAGTGTGAGATTTGGAGGGGACAGAGATCCAAATCATATCATTTACTGAGTTAAATGAAGGTGGCATAATGGTTTTTCTCTACCAGCGGTGTGATTGAAGAGGGCAGGCAGGCGTCGAGCCTGAAGGAGTGCATTCGTGGTGGGATGTGGAAGGAGAAGCAGATATTACAGACATTTAGGAGATAGTCATGACTTGTGACCAGTGAGAACACACTGGATGAATGTTTCCCTAAGGTAGATGAACTACAGTGTCTTAGAAAAATATTTGTCTTGTAACATAATTGAGAGCACTAAACATTTTGTATTCTCTGTCTCTTAATTGGACACACATTAAGAGTAACAAATATGGGTTTAAAAGGCAAACTTTTTTTTTTTTTAAGTGGGTATTTTTTTCCTTTTCCTCAACTTGGGTATTTCCTCTCTGAAGAGGGTTTTCAGTGTCTTGGAAGGTAATTTGCACACTATTTGTGAGGCAAGACTGCTGAGTTAATGGGGAATATGCTTTACTACTTCTTTTTTGGATCCAATCTAAATACGGAGAAAACTGGCCTCAGAATTGCCCACAGAATGGGGGTTTCCTTTATGATTCCTGCTTTTGAGTTCTTTGAATTAGCTTCACATTTCTTGTGTGGTTGGATAGACCCTCCTCCCCCTACCACTTTTTTTTTTTTCTATTTGAAGAGAAAAGATTATTTCCCCCCTAAGTATTCAAGTCTTTTTGTGCCTGAATTAAGGTCGAAGCATTCCATAATTTAAATATAATACCTTTTTGGATGCTTTATATATTGCATTGTGGAGCCAGTTTTAAACACCTGTTTTGTTATCTTTCTAGCTATAGGAGTGTCCACATCTTCACTTTATTTAAAAAGCTCCCGGGTATGTATTAGCAGATTATTATTTCTGTTCCAAATTGATAAGAAGAGGAGGGAGGTGTAGCATCAAGGGAGAAGTCTTTGGGAGTAAAAAAAAGAGTGGAAACTTAAATCAAAATATAAGTCCTTTTCTTGCTCTGTCTTCTAGTGAAAATGTTATTCTGTGTTAGAGAAATGACCAGATGAATTGTGTTTCCTGTTTCGTTTTGCAGTTCTCATTAAAGTGGGTATACGCATACACTTATCTCATGTAAATGTCAAACTGTTTGTTCTTGAAGTGCTGAGTCTTCAACAGTTCTCCTTGGTTGGATTTTGAACATCATTTCAGAATGTCTTATGCTAGATCCAGCAATGTCAGTTTTTGCCTGCTGCACTGTGGTACCTTGTGAATAAAGCAAGTATAAATGGTCCAGATTTATAATGGTTTAAGATTTTTCAACTTTACGATTGTTTCATTGGGACGTAACTCGGTCACAGGTTAAAGAGCATCTGTACTTAGGCAATGCTAGAACTGAGCTTGTGTTCTGTTGAGGAAGAGTAATCTTTGCAGATAGTATAAATTGTCTTTGAGTGTAAACTTGAAATAGGTTTCTTTCTTTTTTTTTTTTTTTTTTTGAGATGGAGTTTCACTCTTGTTGCCCAGGCTGGAGTGCAATGGTGTGATCTCGGCTCACTGCAACCTCCGCCACCCGGGTTTAAGCGATTCTCCTGCCTCAGCCTCCTGAGTAGCTGGGATTACAGGCATGCGCCACCACGCCCCGTTAGTTTTGTACTTTTAGCAGAGAGGAGGTTTCTCCATGTTGGTCAGGCTGATCTTGAGCTCCCATCCTCAGGTGATTTGCCCGCCTCGGCCTCCCAGAGTGCTGGGATTACAGGCGTGAGCCACCGTGCCTGGCGGAAATAGTTTTTTAAAAACATTAATAAAATATATAAAAAAAAGCATGGCACTATCATCCCATGAGTTAGAAATCAAGATCTAGGATTAAATTGGTTAATTTATTCTTAGTTAATAGTCACGACAGTTCTTATTCTGTGAGTCAAGCGCTCACCTGTTGAGTGACATAGTTCTTGAATCATATGCCCAAGGAAAAGGACATGTCTAACATCTCAGAATTTTAAAACTGTGTGTATTAACAGTGGCTTATATCCTTTTGCACATCAGAATTACCTGGGAACTTAAAAAAAAAGTTTAAAAGTTGATATGTAGGCTAGTTGTAGGGAAGTGTCACATTGTCTGAGCCCAGGGGAATTGTCAGATTGTAGGGGAATTGTCAGATTGTAAGGGTTGGGGACTGGGCATGAGTGGTTTTGAAAAGCTCCCGGGCCATTTGAATATGTAGTGAGGTTGAGAAGCTCTGGTTAACGTAACCCTCAGGACAGCTCAAGAAATTCTTGCACTGTGCTTTCCCACGTACATTTCAGTGTACAGGCTGTGTACCTGTGGCTGTTTATCAGGTTCATCTTCTTTAGCAAGTTTGGCAGTTTTGTAAAGTGTCTAAAGATCTTTTATCTTGTATTCTTATACATATTAAGTAAAATCTATGTGGTAGTTGGCTTTACTGAACCTATTAAAATTGCTTTTTAGCTTTGGTTATAAGCTTCTAAGTAATAAACAAGAACCATCAGACAGAAATATGAGTTACTGCTTTCGGCAGAGTACAGATTTACTTTATACTTACTTAGATGTAAACACAATAGTTCACGTATGTTTAACGAAATTCAAAGTTCACCTATGTTTAATGAAATTCAAAGTTGATTGGAACAGGTATGATTATGCAGAGTGGACAGACTTTAAAAAGTGAGATGAGAAGGCCAGGCGTGGTGCCTCACGCCTGTAATCAGCACCGTGGGAGGCCAAGGCAGGGGAATCATTTGAGGTCAGGAGTTTGAGACCAGCCAGGCCAACATAGCAAAACCCTGTCTCTACTGAAAATACAAAAATTAGCCAGGTGTGGTGGTGCATGCCTGTAATCCCAGCTACTCGGGAGGCTTGTGGCAGGAGAATTGCCTAAACCCAGGAGATGGAGGTTGCAGTGAGCTGAGATTGCAACATTGTACTCGAGCCTGGCGACAGAGTGAGACCCTGTCTCCAAACAAAAAAAAAAAAAAAGTGAGGTGAGAAAATAACCATCTTACAACTTGCCACTTTTCAGAAGCTGATAAGCTGCTGTGAGCCCTGTTTTCGCATGCCTTTATGAAATGATTGGACTGGGACTTTTGCTTCCCTCTTTGTTCCCTTCCTAATCTAGCTCGAATGGTGTAGGTCCCTAGGAATCATTTTGTTGCTTGACTTGGGTGGGTGGTCCCTATAGTATATGAATTCAGTATATGACATCTATGTCAGACCCTAAAGATTATCAACAGGTAGTCTCGGTTCTCAAAATGTAGCATAAACCAGAATCACCTGGAGGGCCTGTTAAAACACAGTTGCTGGTTCTACCCCCAGGGTTTCTGATTCAGGTCTGGGGTGGGTGGGGCCAGAAAATTTGTATTTCTGAGATGTTCAGGGTGTTACTGATGTTCTTGGTTCAGGAGTTCTGAGACTCATGGAGGTGGAGATCGTCGGGGTTGGTGACATTTGTAAGAGAAGGGTATTTACAGAAGTTGTACCCTTAAATTAAAAAGAAGGCTCTCAGAATTAAGTCTGGTCACCCAATGGACAAAAGGGAAAAAAATTCCATCTAGATGCAGAAAAATAAGAAAAATTGACTTAAAAGATTATTATTTATAAGCTCAAAGATAGAATTTTTTTCTTTTTGAAAAATTTTTCCTCCCTTTTCTACAGTTTTAATGAATTGAGGTTTGAACCCGGGACTCTAATTTTCAAAGGATTTGTTTGTAGTCTTTCAGTTTCCATCTCCTAATTCAGTTGCTAATTTTATTAAGTTCCTAATTTTATTAGGAACTTGTTTTTCTTCACTGTGCCTCAGTTTCCCCATAATAAGAATAAATATGATTGCCAGAGATATCGTTAGGTTATTTTAAAGTCTAATGAATAATATTATGTAGTATTTGGAGATCATCAAGTTAGGAAACTTATAAAAAATATGAAAAATATTCTAAACATCTAAATAAGGGATGTACTTATTCAAGCAATAAGTACATCCCTTTTTCCCAGTCAACTGGGCCACGGTAAAAGAAGCAGCCAATGTGGAGGGTAAAAAAAATAGTGGGCCAATATGGAAGTTGGCTTCATTTTGTAAAGTACTATACAAAAATGGGAAAATTTTAAAGCATGAAACTGGTGAGAAAGGAAGTGACTCAGAATTCAAAATAGATAGGACTCCACACCAGTAATGATCTGGAACTGAGGAACATTGCCTACAGAAGAGAGAAGCCATGAGAGACAGTTGAGGTGAGTGAATTGGCTCCATAGTAACATGGAAAATGGAATTACACATTTCTTTTTTTTCTCACGTGGACAGAGACTATTGTAGCAATTTAGAACTTCGGGCCCTGTTTAAAAAAATCTATTTCAAGCGTCAAATTATTGATTGCCAGACTGAGTATTATTAGTAATTACAGTTACAGCACTGAGGAGTTTTCTCATAGTGTCTGAGTTCTGCTCCTGTTCAGTGGTTGAGTTCATTGATCATTTTTCTACTCCTCATTGCACCTGTCATGCTGGTATCAGCAATTAACATTCCTCAGAAGCGAATAGAATGCCAGGCTCCATCTCAGATGTAACTCAAGAACAACAGGTGCATTCTACCTATTCTTGGCTATAGACAGAGTAGTTAGAAGGCAAGTAATTAACCATAGAGCAGACTTTGAAGAAAATGAGATTCTTTAGAATTTGAGACAAAGTGCTGAAAAGTAGCTCTGGATAATGTATTTAGGAGACATAGGAAATGGCTCAACAGGAAGGGTGAAATAGCCTTACCAGTCTGGCCTCTTTAAATTTGTTTCAAGCCTGTTTCCCTTCACTGATACAAATCTTACTAACTCTGCACCTTCCACAGACCCTTTGTTATGTGCAGCTGTTTTTGTTTGTTTTTATGAAATTCACTTGAAAAGTCATTGGACTTGAATTTATACAGTAAAAAATCAATTAACTAGATTCTTAAATTTTCTCTTCCACTTTAAATGAAGACACCTAACGGTTTGAAACCTTCTGGCTCTGAGAAGAGGAAGAGGGTCCCCAGATACAGGTTTCAATTCCTTACCATTTAGTCTGGTTCCATTGATCAGGGGTTCAGTTTTCTCACCTTAAAATAAGAGGATTAGAACAGATAATTTCTAAAATTATTTTTACCACCCCTTTTCTCTTTTCTTTCTTTAATTCCTGTGGCGTTCTCTGCAGTTTATATGTCCCTAATTTTTATGAAAATACTTAAAGCTTTACTTAAATAGGTTCAAGTGTGGGCAGATTTCAAGAGCTTAATTATCTAGGATTTTCTACTTGAAAGTGAGATTTTAAATTATCATTGAGACCTTACTTTAGGTCCTACATAAATTTCTCTAAAATTTTATAAGCATATGTTACTCTTGACTAGTAACAACAGGAAAGAAAATTAATCCAGTGTGATTTCTCTTGTTTTAATAATTGCTACTTTAAAAAAGCTTGTGTATACCTTTTGTATGTTGGGTGTTTTTTTTTTTTTTTTTTTTTTTTTTTTTTGAGACAGAGTCTTGCTCTGTCACCCAGGCTGGAGTACAGTGGCATGATCTCAGCTCACTGCAACCTCCGCTTCCCAGGTTCAAGCGATTCTCGAGCCTCAGCCTCTCGAGTAGCTGGGACTTCAGGTGCCCGTCACCGTGCCCAGCTAATTTTTGTATTTTTAGTAGAGACAGGGTTTCACCATATTGGCCAGGCTGGTCTCGAACTCCTGACCTTGTGATCCACCCACCTTGGCCTCCAAAAGTGCTGGGATTACAGGTGTGAGCCACCACGCCCAGCCATGTCGGGTGCTTTCTCTCACTGGTTGTTAAACTTGGCTGCATGTTTGAATAGCTAGAGATTTTTAAAAAATACTGATGCTTGGGCCTCACCTTCAGAGATTTAGATACAATTATTGGGTCCCAGAATATTTTTAAAGATAGTATTGTCATAAGTATTTAGTTTACGTTGCACTTCAAAAAAAATTGTAGATTTAACTTTTATGTCTAATATTTAAGGTTTTGAATTATTTGTGAATGAAAAAACTCTAAAACAGAGAAGTGGTACCTTTTCATTTTAGGTGTACTGCCTCAGCTAAAGGATGTGTGTGTGTCTTGACTCCCCATCCCCCATGCGTACACCTCTTATCTGCTGAGCTAGATGGGATGGCCTTTCTGCTTGTCTCTCATCTATGGGGCATTACACATAGTTGTCCTTTTCCAGTTGGTTTTTTAGGATTATTTGGTGTCATTTTGTCAAATCTATGCCATTGGTTTTTAAATGCATCATTCTTTTTTTTTAAATGTCTCTACAAAAGAGATAACACCACCGATTAAGTTGACTTCCTTTTTCAGGAGATGTGAAAATGTGAAAAAGGTACTTGGAATCGGTGAAATATGCTTATAATTTTTTATTTAAAAAAAGTTTGTGGGTACATAGTAAGTGTATATATTTATGGGGTACCTGAGATGTTTTGATACAGGCATGCAATGTGAAATAAGCACATCATCGAGAATGGGGTGTCCATCCGCTCAAGTGTTTATCCTTCAAGTTTCAAATAATCCATAAAATACACTACTCTTTATTTTTCTCATCTAGGTATTTTTTAAAAAATAACAAATCTACATAGGTTTTTTTTCTAAGTTTGTGTTTGCATAATCATTTTGTGTGTATGAAAAAATTGAGATAGCTTTCTATTCAATCTCCTTAGTTGTAGAAATATGACTAATTTGTTTAAACATCATTGCTTCTAAATATGCCCTGGAGGACTTACATACAAGTCATAATCTTGTGATATTCTTTGTTAGTTTGTCTCATTATGCGGAAAGCCTTATTTATTTTTTGTGTGTGCATATGTATGCATATTTGTGTGTACTCATACAGACACACACACTCTGTATGTGTGAGTGTATATTTGCCAGTGCTACCACTTCCGTGTGTTCTGCTTTGTCTAACCTTTTGGTAAAGTCTACACTTTGGGTTTTAAATAATTTTAAGGTTTCCATTGTTCACGTGTTTGCTGTTGTAGCATTATCCTATTAAAAACTACATAACCCAGTTCAGCAATCTAAATGTGCTTCTAACTTTATATGGAAACTATTTAGCTTTCTTTACTTACCGTCTCCCCGACTCCACTCCCCACTCCCCCAACCTCTTTTTTTTTCCTACAGTGTTAACCAAGAGAGATATATTACCTTTGGATCTAGCCCATCTACCTCTAGATACTTCACTTGCATAATAACTAATTTAAATTTATTCCAGATGTACAAGAAGTATTTGAGATTTGGTAGTTTTAATTTTGGAAATGCTTTTAAAATGTTATCCTAGATTAGTAGGTGATTTTTCTTCCATGAAAATGTATATTTATTTAAAACCTGCGGTAGCTAATTAAACTTGAAATACCCTAAGTCCTCATGTAATGTTGTGGATAGGTTCTTGGAAACTGTAAGTGAAACATATAACAGGTCCTTGAGTTGCGTTGTTTCCTTCGATGTGGATTTGTTACAGCATTGATGAGGGGAAAAACGGTTATGCGTTATTTCACTCAAAGTTGCAGCTTCCAGGAACCTGTGGATGACGTTATGTGAGGGCTTACTGTATTTCTCTGGTTTTCAGTAAGTTAAAAGGTAGCAGAATCTAATATTTTCATTCTCCCCATCAGTAGAGGAGCTGGTGATATCCACTTGTGGATACTCAGTCCCTGTCTGATCACCAGGTTTGATGAATTGGCCGCTCACTTTAGAGGGTCTGTCAGGCTTCTTCATGTTCACAAATGACTGGAAATAAAAAGGAATACCTTTTACATCACCAACTCTCTAAGTACCTATATAACATTTCGGTTTGTTTTGGCTGCCAATTCCTCTTCACAAAAATCGCTGGTTTTGCAGCCATAGGTGGCCTCCTGGCTCTGTGTGGTTTTCTCCCTTTACTGGCTCACTCTTCATGCCCATATTGCTGTAGACCTCTCTTAGAAGCCTCACCCCTTCACTCCCCACTCCTTTTGCATTTGGGTTTCTGTGTGTATGTATGGGGTACTTAACGCCTTCTAAGTAGTAGCGCAGTGCCTGGCAAAATTGTCAGAATCAGGATCAGAATCAGACTGCCTTTGCTGTGTTTCCACGGGTGTGTTGCATTGCTTCCTGTCCGTTCTCCATCCATTGCCCATTCTCCGTACCCTTCATGTCCTCAACTACTCCCTGTCTTCACCTCCTGTTTCCTGTTTTTTCTCCTGTTTCTGCCACTCACATTCTCCATGGGAAGGGCTTTTTTTTTTTTTTTTCTTCAAACCTGGTATTTTTGGAGAGAAGGTTTTGACATTGGGGCTGTCTTTTAAGAGCCCTTCCCCTGATAGCAGAGGGGAACGTGCTCAACTTACAAAGTTTCTGAAAAAAATCACACTTCTTCTTTTCACGGGACCCCTGTTTGAAATTTGCAACAAATTAAATGCTTAGGAATCCAGGTGCCTAGGAGCCCTGCTATTTCAGCTCTTTCCCCTTAATCATGTTGGTTTACATGAGGATTGATTTTGGACTCACTGGGCCAGCTACGTGAAATGTGGTATTGTCATTGTCTCTTTGCACAGAACAATTCATTTGCTGCTTGTCGTGAATCCATCCTGTGAGGTATTATGATGACATCTGGCATGGCTTCTTTGTTTACTGTGTTTACCGTATGTGTTTAGAAGGAAAAAGGCCTGTAGTGACCACTTTTCTGTGTCGGCCCCTGGGTCAGGTTTTCCATCCTGACTCATGGGTGTCGGGACCGCTGAGATTGGTTGATGGGGTGTGCAGAATTTCCTCTGTCGGGCTTGGGAGCCAGAAAGCCACGATGAAGTTTGATTTGGCTTGTGGCAGCCTTTTCCAAATGTGAATTTGGATACAGTACAGTAAGCCCTCTAAGAAAAGGAGAAGAAGAGAAAATAATAACTCTAGAGCTGGGAATATCTGGGGAACATTGAAAAACGGGGAAAGTCTCAAAGATAGTATTCTGTGTCTCCCCTGAGCTGGTGTTGCTGTAGTGCTCAGAGGCCAGCCTTTTTTTCCAAGCCGAGTGCTCCCTGCACTTGGGAGAAACCACAGAGGCGGCCTCTGTCCTGCATGTGCTGCACGCTGCCTTGCTCCAGACTGTCTTGAATGTGACCTGGCAGCCAGTGCTGTTTCCTGCTGACGTGGCCTCCCACAACTGAGCAGAACAGAGCCACCTCAGTGTACTGAGGAAGGAGCAGGCTGGGGGCATGAATCACCAGCGGGATACGGAACAAATTCAGAGGGGAAAGCGCCTAACTATTCAGGTTTCCTGGTAGATATACTTAAAAGACACCTTTCTTATAGGAAGGAAGGAGGAGGAAGAAAAACAGGAGTGAAGAATGCCTCAAGAGTCAAACAGTGATTTGTTTGGCCCTAGGAAGGATTTCTTATCAGCAGGAGTTACCTTCTGGGGTAAGCCCCAGTCTGTCTCAAACATCTGAGAGGATGCTTTGAGGAGGCCAGACTGGACTGCAGCCTTCACAGCCACACTGTTGCACAGGTTGGTGGCGATGTGAGCTCTTAGCCCTATCCTGCAGACAGGTAGTAAAGAAACAAAAACCTAAACCAAAAGACTAGAGTTTGTGTCTTGGTGGAAAAAGTTCCCTCAACTTGGTAGGAACTGGAGAAAAGGACTCTGAGAAACTGCTCAGGAGCAAATCCTGTGGCCTAGTTTTCCCTTCAGTGCTGTCAGCTTCCCGCTTGATGCTCGATAAGCGCTTGTTTCAGCCACTACTGAATATTTTTTGAGTTTGCTTATTTGAAGGCATCCAGGACAGCTCCTTGTTACTGTCTTCTAATAGGCCCCCCAAAAGTCATAGTATCACAGAATTTTAGAGTGAGATGGGACTTTAATTGTAATCTGATCGAGACCGTTAATGGTTTCTTTTTTTTTGAGACAGAGTCTTGCTCTGTCACCAGGCTGGAGTGCAATGTTGCAATCTTGGTGCACTGCAACCTCCACCTTCTGGGTTCAAGCCATTCTCCTGCCTCAGCCTCCCGAGTAGCTGGGACTACAGGTGCGTGCCACCATGCCCAGCTAATTTTTGTATTTTTAGTAGAGACGGGGTTTCACCATGTTGGCCAGGATGGTCCTGACCTCGTGATCCGCCGTCCTCCGCCTCCCAAAGTGCTGGGATTACAGTCATGAGCCACCGTGCCCAGGCTATGGTTTCTTCTAAGAAGTGATCGTAGAACTTTGTCTTCAGTTACTCCCACCTGAAAGCCCACTGTACAAAACGTGCAGGTGGAGCTGACTGAGGGCAGAGAGGCCGGAGCCCAGCTGCTCATCTTTCTTTTAGTAGTGGCCCTGGAAACTCTTCCCCTGACCATTCCACACTCCCGCATACTTAATTGAGAAACCACTGATGAAATCTACAACCTTAATTTTATAGGTGAGGGAATTTTACCTTTGGTAGGGTCACGGTGTTAGGTCATTATGATAACTTTCAAGGTGCCTGGGAATAAAAGTTTTATAACTTTAATCTGTCTCCTGCTTTTGAGCCTTCGTGATCTCTCCAGGAGCTGCTGTAATGGCTTCCCACCCTGCGTGGGAACAAGTGGGGTGCTGGTGGGACAAGTCGGGGGCTGGTGATGTACTCTATGTGTTTGTAGGTCAGAGCTGGAAACCACAGAGAACAGCCCAGGTGGTTTCATTAGTCTAGGTGTGAGGTCACTGGGGGGCGGCAGTAGGATTGGAGATGGAGGGAAGCTTTGAAAGGAAGAGCCCTTAGCATTTTAAAGTATGGTTAAGTTTTTAAGTTACAGAAACTGGATATGGAAAATTACCAAGAGAACTTAGTCAAAGATGATCCTCAAATACCCAGCCAAAGTCATAGGGAGAATGTGGAGACTGTCTGACTTAGATAGTGGAAAATCTTTCTCAGTTTTCTTTGTTTAAGCTTCAGTAAGTCCCTCTCGTGGAGGATTCTTCTTTGGAGATAGGAAAGCAGTTTGATTCCCTGATTCTCTTTACAGCTGTGGCATCCCAATCTGATTGTTGGATGAGTTTTGGTATATGGTGTAACCCTTAGTTCCTGGTGTGTCAGTTGTCTACACAATTCACTTGCATTTGTTTTCTGGATTGTTCAGCCTAGATTATGGAACAGAACCAAGGCAGATTCAGGTCTGTCATACTGACCTCATTCCTGGTTCAGCACTGACTTTCCTGCATAGCCTCAAGTCTAGTAGGTAGGTGGACTTGTGATTACAAACAGATTTTGGAAATCATTTACATTGGCCAGGTTTTCCAGTGTTTTCCCCTTTCCTGGAAGCCATTTTCTCCTATTGCTCGCCTCTAACTCAGTCAACAGAAGCCTCTGCCCAGGGCAAACAATTTTGTAAGAAAAGAGAGCAAAATAGGAGTGAATGGAGAGGATGGGATATTAAATATGTAATAGGCCTATTTCCATTTTCAGTAAAGTCACTTGATTTCCTTTAAAGAGGCTCTGATTTTCTTGAACCATGCCTTGGTGGAATTAGAAAGTTACCCACATCATTTATGGTATTTTGTTGTTACTGTTGTAGGCTGGATTTGTACTTGGTCCGGGACTAGAAGGGGAGAAACAGCCTTATCTGTTAATCCGTTGCAGTGGCAGAAGAGCTGTATATGTAACTATATGCTTTTTTCCTCAACTTATACTGGAAAAAGAAAAAAAATTGCCCAGAGACTCTTTTTCTAAATGGTTTTGGTAAATGTATTCTTCAAATACAACTGCGAGTAGGAGGCCATGTCAGTGGGGGGTGATCATTCTTTTGTGTGATGGTAATGAGATAATTTCTGCATTACAGATTTTCAGGAGACTCTTTGTTTAAATGAAACTTCAGAGCCCTCACAAAGCCTCACAAGTCTCTTTGCCTTATTAAAAAAAGTTTTTATTAATCTCATGTGTTTTGCCATCATCAATTGCATAAACAAATAAAATTGTTTTGAGCAATAGAACTAAGGCTGTCATTTGTTTGGCATCCTGTCCTCTCTCCTTTTTCTCAAATACAATTTGACAAAATCTGGCTCCGAGTTGCTGTTGTTCCCACCATTAGCCATCGGCTCCAAGTGGCCATTCCCTCTGGTCTTGGATGGAGGCAAGAGGAAGTGTGCGCAAGACATAGCCAGGCAGGTTGCTGCCTGAAGGCTGGCAGCCGCTTTCACATGGGCTGGCAGGGATCTGCAGCCAGCAAGTGACTGGCACAGGAATTTCCGTTGCGTTGCAAGAAGGAACCAGGTAGGCCTGAGGGTGTCAAGTTGCTAGCCAAGATCTTCAACGTTTCTTTGTATGTATCCTTTGCTAATTGAACCTGGAAAACCTAACCATGAAAGGGATCTACAGAGAAAAGTGGCTAGTGCTGAGTTTTGAAGTTTTTTTTTTTTTTTTTTCCCCACTGTCTGCTCTCTAAAGCAACCAGTATTTATTTGGTTAAAAAGCAGCTAATTAATCTGTTTGATCTTGATGTGGAAATGAACCGTATCGAATTCCAGGTCAAATCACTTATCCTTGTAGAATGTTTTTTTAACCTTTTGAGGTGTGTTTCATCAGATTACGGACTATCAGAAGTTTACTTGTCCTCAATATTCCGGTCTGCATGGTGACATGGCTATTGTTCTAATAACAGTGCTTTTAAGTATAAACCTAATATTGTCTACAAAAAGAAAAGTCACATTTATCAATGGACTGTGAAAAGTTGTAAGGGGATTGTGTAACTTAATTATACAAGCAGTGTCATATATGATACTATTCTTGAAAAATACCTTGCCATCTGGTCCCATTTATCTGAGATGAGATCTGTTGTTATTTTTCTTTTTCTCTTCTTAAGTTTCGCTAAGCTGCCAGCAAATATTATTTTCCTTATTTTAAACATGAAGAAACAAAGGTCCAGATAGGCCAACTAACTTATCCAAAGTAGTGGTAGAGCCAGAACATGAACCCAAGATGGTACCAAAGCTCCTGGTATTTTTTTTTTCAAACTTTTATTTTGAAATAATCATGAATTTTTAAGGAGTGGCAAAAAATGTGCAGGGAAGTTCCATGTATCTTTCACTTAGTTTTGCCTCATGGTAACATCTTGCATAACTATATTTTAATATAAAAATCAGGAATAGACATGAGTACAGTCCACGGAACTCATTCAGATTTGTAATAATCACTACCATAATTAAAATATGGAGTGGTTCTAGCACCAAAAGGCTCTCTTGTGCTAGCCCATTATAGCCACTCCCCTTTCTTCCTGCTATCCCTAACTCCTAGTAACCACCCATCTGTTCTCCATCTCTAAATTATTTCAATAGTGTCATGTAAATGAAATCTCACAGGATATAAGTTTTTGAGATTGGCTGTTTTCTCAGCCTAATTTCTTTGAGATCCATTTGTTTTGTGTATCAATAGCTTATTTCTTATATTGCTGAGCAGGATTTCATCATATACATGAATCAGTGTAACCTGTTGAAGGACATTTGATAGTTCTGGCTTTGCTTGAACATGACTTTTAGTTTTTTGGGATAAATGCCTTCTGAGGTCTGAATGTTTGTGTTCCCCCAGAATGCATAGGTTAAAACTTAACCTCCAACGTGATGGTATTAAGAGGTGGGGCCTTTGGGGGCTGATTTTATCATGAGGACTCAGCCCTTATTAATGGGATTAGTGCCATGATTAAAGAGACCAGAGGGACCTTTTTCACTCCTTCTACCCTGTGTGGACACATGGAGGGGTGCCATCTATGAGGAACGGGCTTTCACCAGGCATTGAATCTGCTGGTGCCTTGATCTTGGATTTCCCAGTCTCCAGAACCATGAGCAATACATTTCTATCATCTCTAAATTACCTTGTCTATGGTAGTCTTGTTACAGCAGCCTGAATGGACTAAGACAGTACCCAAGAGTACACTGCTATAGCCTATTATTATAATTGAATGTTTCGTTTTATAAGAAACTGACAAAATTTTCCAGAGTGGTTGTACTATTTTATGTTTCTATCAGCCATGTACAAGTGATCCCGATTCTCTTCATCCTTGTCAGCATTTGGTCTGATGTTTTTAATGGTCACTGTGGCCTTGATTTACATTTCTTCAATGGCTAGTAATCTTGAGCATCTTTCAATGTGCTTATTTGCCTTCCGTATCTCCTCTTTGATGAAATGTCCTTGTTTTTCACCCATTTTCTAATAGGATTGTTTGAATTTTTTTTTTAACTGCTGAGTTTTGAGAGTTCATTATATATTCTAGACACAAGGCCTTTTTTGGATATGTAATTTGCAAATACTTTCTTGTCTTTCCCTCCTTTAACAGGTTCTTCTGCAGGGAAAAAGTTTTTCATTTTGATGACATCCAATTTGACAATTTTTCCTCTTATGGTTTTGGTGTGAAGTCTAAAGACCTTTGTCTACTCCCAGACTCCAAAGATTTTTTTCCTTTTTGTTTTCCCTACAAGTTTTATAGTTTTACATGGAAGTCTATGATTAATTGTGAGTAAATTTTTGTATAATGTGTGAGGTTTAGGTTGAAAGGCTCTTCTTCTCTTTCTCCTCCTCCTTCCCTCCCCTCTTCCTCTCCCTCCTCCCTTATCTTCCTTTCCCACCTCCTCTATCAATGTCCAGTTGCTCTAGCAATATTTTAGAAAATACTGTTTTCCTCCCTTGCATCACTTTTCACCTCTGTTAAAAATCATCTGGGGCCGGGCATGGTGGCTCACGCCTGTAATCCCAGCATTTGGGAGACCAAGGTGGGCAGATCACAAGGTCAGGAGTTCGAGACCAGCTTGAACAACATGGTGAAACCCCCTCTCTACTAAAAATATAAAAATTAGCTGGGCGTGGTGGCACATGCCTGTAATCCCAGCTACTCAGGAGGCTGAGGCAGGAGAATCCCTTGAACCTGGGAGGCGGAGGTTGCAGTGAGCCAGGATCGCACCATTGCACTCCAGCCTGGGCAACAAGATCGAAACCCTGTCTCAAAAAAGAAAATTATTTGGGTATATTGGTGTGTGTCTGTTTCCAGGTCCTCTGTTCCTGGCTTGGTTGAACTGTGTGATCACTGTATCCCTCCTCCCACACCACATTGTCTTGATTACTGTAGCTACATAGTAAGTCTTAACATTGCATCCTATTCACTCTAAAGTGAATTTTATCTGAGATATTTAGGTAAATAAGGACCCAAGAGAGAGATGCCAGCTCTCCGTAAACTAGTGCCTATAACCAAGAGTTATTTAGGAGCTTTGGGTCATCTCCAACTTATTCTGAGAAAATCAGTAGGAAAACCACAAAGTAAATATTCAGAAAAGTGAATATGAGTTAAGTAATTTGGTTTGTAAGTCTAAAGTTCTGTACAGCTGTCTCTGAAGCCTGGATTGATAATGAAGTCTAGATCTTTGGGTTTGTTTGGGTTTGTCAGTAATAGCTATTGATGATCAAAAAAGCCATATGAGCAAAAGGTTTTGAGAAAAAAGTTAGGTTCTGGATTCATTTTAAAAAGTTAGCCACTCGTTTGTGTATTTTAAGAAATCTCATCTGCTGTACTGAAGCCTTATATATGTTCCTTTATCTTAAGATAACATAGATAGTACACCATTTTAGACTTAGAGAGGTGGTAGAGGTCAATTCATTTAACCATCACATTTTACAGGTAGGAAAATCAGGACCCTTTTATAAATGGGCTGGCACATCTGCAGATTGTCCTGGGTCACTGGGAAGGTGGGGGAGGCCGGCAGGGGCTGACCAGAATCAGCCTCACCAGTGGATACTCTGTCAGCCTTCTCGCCTGCCTGTAAACCTGTTTTCACTCTTTTTCATCTGGCATGGTCCTGAAGCCAAGGGCAGCAGTGGGCATTACTATTACACAGTACTACACACTATACAAAACTATGCCTCCTTCCAGCTCCCTGGAATAGGAACCTCTGTTCATAGACCTTTGCCTGGAATTAGACTGAAATAGGCTGTGCTCACTGGGCCTTGCCTGTTGTGGATTTTGGCTTCCCACTTACAGGGGCGGAGCTGCCTCTTGTGCCTCCCAGGGACTGACTTTGCATTTCCCTTGGCTCCCTCTCTGTGGCTTTGTTCCTCATTTTCATCACCAGCCTGCTACTAGGACTGGTCCCTGCTGTGGTTATGTTAACATCTTCTAGGGTTTACACCCCAACCCTAAGAAGTCATGTGAAATCTTACAGAAGAGCTGCTAACAATCAAGGGCATGAATACTGCTTTCCGAATTTCACTAATATTGGCCAGCTCCTTTTAGAGTTGCCCTGGAACAGAGAAATTTACAGCCAACTGTAAATCAGAAATGTCAGTTTGGGCTAGGGGGCCATGATCCAATAGTGGAGCAAGATTAATAGAATAATCTATACGTATTTTAAAGTATACTCATCTATAAAGAATAGAATTAAACTTTTATTGTTATAATATTGGCCTTTGGTTATTTTTATCAGGTTTTAAAAATAAAGATGCTGCATAATAGCAAATTATTACTAAACATTTATATTGGCCACAACTGTCATAAATCCAGAGTAATGGAAGGAATTCCTATTTTTGCCTTTGGATTTTATTTTATTTTTTTGTCCCGAATTTGCCGTTGAAAGAATTTTTGTGAACTTTCCAATGTGCATAGTATATATCAAGATACAATAAATTCAAAAGAAATAAAAGAGAAACAGCATAAGATTACCAAAAAAGGAGGGAACCAGGAGTAATTTTGAATTTTACTTTTAGAAAGTTTGTTTTTTAATCTTATTTTTGTCAGTGACTATTCTTGGTATGTTATTTCTGTAATTTCTTAGTTGTGTTCATTATTAACTGTTATATAGAACTGTCATTAGAAGCAGGATTGAACCCCATTGGAAGTGTTTTAATTTCACATCTGAATTTGAGCAGGCTGTTGAATATTGGTGGGATGGAATGTGAACCGACTGATCGCTTTTCCAATCCTGTTATTTTCCAGTGTGGTTTGGAAAAAAATCTCTACATATGAAGTCAAGAAAGCACAATGAAGCCTTCTGGTTAATGAATTTAGTGAGTTTCAGATTTTCCTCTCATGGAGAGTCCTGGAAAATCACTTCAGAAAAGAGTGCTGTGGGTCACTTGTAGAAGAAACTGCTTTGCATGCATATATGATTTAGAGCATTCTAAAGGCTAACATGGATTCTGGCCCAGCCTCTGATGAATAGAATCAAAACCTATTGATTACCAGACCAAGAATTGGAAACAAAGCCATTTGATACAGCTTTTAGGTTTATGACTAGCCAGTCAGATCTCTCTCAGCTGCTGAATGTAGAAGTTCACTGGACACATGCGTGTATTTACCGAAGCCTGACAATGTCTGACACTGTTGTGCCTTGACTGTGGTAGTGATCACCTGTAATGCAATTTTTCATAACAATTTTGTTGAGATATAATTCACATACCATACAATTCACCTATTTAAGCATACAGTTCAGTGGTTTCATATATTGTGTATCCATCACTACAGTCAGTTTTGGAGCATTTTCATCACCTACAAAACTCCATTCCCATTAGCAGTTACCCCTGATTCCCCTACATCCCCAGCACTAGGCCACCAGTAATGTACCTTCTATCTTTAGAGAGTTGCTTATTCTGTCTGGACATTTCAGTGGAATCATATAGTATGTGGTATTTTGTGATTGTCCTCTTAGGATAATTTTTTTTTTTTTGGGGGGGGACAGAGTCTCTCTCTGTTACCCAGGCTGGAGGGCAGTGGTGTGATCTCGGCTCACTGCAACCTCCGCCTCCCAGATTCAAGCGATTTCTCCTTTCTCAGCCTCCTGAGTAGCTGGGACCACAGGCAATGCGCCACCATGCCCAGCCAGTTTCTGTATTTTTAGTAGAGACGGGGCTTCACCCTGTTGGCCAGGCTGTTCTCAAATTCCTGACCTCAGGTGATCCACCCACTTCGGCTTCCCAAAGTGTTGGGATTATAGGCATGAGCCACCGCGCCCGGCCTCTTAGCATAATTTTTAAGGGTACTTGTAGCATGTGTCAGTTCTTCATTTTTTTATTGCCAGATAATATTCCAGCATATGGATGTATCACACTGTATTAATCCATTCATCAACTGATAAACATTTGGGTTGTTTCCCCTTTTTGGCTATTAATACCGTGGCTATGAGCATTTATGTGCAAGTTTTTGGGTGAATATATATTTTTATTACTCTTGGGTATATACCTAGGAGTGGAATTGCTGGGCCTTATGGTAACTGTATTTAACCATTTGAGGAATGGCCAGACTGTTTCCAAAGCAGCTGTACCACTTTATCTTCCCACCAGCAGTGTATGAGGGTTCCCGATTTCTTCACATTCTTGTCAACACTTGTTATTACCTGGTTTTTTTTTTTTTTTTGGTCTGTAATACAATTTTATGTGTTTTTTAATTCCTTTGCATTGTTGATGTTTTTCCTGCCAGGGATCGGCATTCACATACTTAAGGAAGTAGGGTATGGTTAGCTATGATATGGCTCTGAGCTGTAATGAAATTCTGTGCTAGGACCAGCTTGTCTATTTGTCTCTTACCTTGACTTCTGATCATAGCACTAACCAAACCACCATGATACCACAGAAATAATTGTTTTAGAAGCTCAAATCTAATCTTTTAAATCTTGAGATGTGTCACACATACATAAGAATGCATAAAATATATGTATAAGGAATAATTAATAGCTGGGCATGGTGGTTCATGCCTGTAATTCCATCGCTTTGGGAGGCTGAGGCAGGAAGATTGCTTGAAGCCAGGAGTTTGAGACCAGCCTGGGCAACGACTCTGTCTATACAAAAATTTTTTTAAAAAAATTAACTGGGCATGATGGTGCACACCTGTAGTCCTAGCTACTTGGGAGGCTGAGATGAGAAGATTACTTGAGCCCAGGAGTTTGAGGCTGCAGTGAGTTATGGTCGTGCCACTGCACTCCAGCCTGGGCAACAGAGCAAGACTATATCTCATATAAGGAAAAAAAAAAATAGAATTATAAAGCAAACACCCATATAACCCACCCACATCATAGAGTAGAAATTTACAGTTCTAAGTAACAGTTAATAATGAACATGACTGAAAATATGTTAGCATTGTAAACATTAATAATCATTAACAAATTAAATCACTTTTTGATGATTTTCCTTTTCTTTGTATCATTTTGTTTTTCTTTATAGTTTTACTGTATGTACAAACACACACACATGCACGCACACATGCATCCAACACCGCTACCCCAAAACATGAGCTTGAAGTTGCCTGTTTTTGAACTTCACATAAATGGAAACATACTATATGTATTCTTCAGTGACTTCTTTTGCTTAACATTTCAAAGATATTGTGGGTAGCTGTTCGTTCATTTTTTTTCTTTTTTGCTACTGTGTAGTTTTCTAGCTTCTGTGTTCTCCTGATGAACCTTTAGGTTGGTTCTGATATTTGGGTATTATGAGCAGGGCTGCTATGAATATTCTTGTGGATATTTCAGGTCTGTAAGAGTTTCTTCAAAATAGTTACCAAGGAGTAGAATTACTGCTTTCCTAGATAATGCCAGAGTCTTTTTAAAAATGTTGTAATCTTTTCTCCCACAGCATTACCAGCCTTTGGTACATTCAGACTTTTAGCAGTTTTGACAGTCTGTTGGTTGCTTCTGTAGCAGTATCTCATTGTGGTTTAAATTTAATCTCGCTTGAGTTTTATTATTACTTTTACCTTTTCACCCAGTGCATTTGCAGTTATAGATTTTTTTATTTTCTCAAAGAAAAGTGGACATTGGGCTACCTGAAAATCATATTTGGGCTAGTGAAAATTCATTGAGCTAGTAGCATTCTTTAGGTTATTCTGACTGAGAACTTGATCACTTAGATGATGAGTACTGTCAGATTATTTTTGATCCTATGGTTTTATCTGGCCTTACACATTTTTGTATAATAAAATTTAAAATTTATGGAATTGCTTATTTAGTTTACCAACTTGATATGCTACAAGCAATAAGTCTGTAGTTTGCTCATATTGATTCTAAGCCCAATATATAAATTGTCATTTATTTATGGTGAATTAAGTATTTATCCCTAAGAGGAATTTACAACATCTAGTTCAAAGTATTCTCAATATTAGGAAGTAATACCTATATGTGTGTGTGCATGAGTGTGTCAGAGTGTACATGTGGGCCAAAGTGCTGAAAGATGTGGCATTTTTTGCCAGAGGAAGAAGTTTACTGAGGAAAACTCAATATTCTAAAACTTAAAAAAACTTAATAGTAATGTAAAACAAATCTTGCTTAATTTAATGAGAACAAATAAGATTATTTAAGTGCGAAGAAATGGGGTGAAAGCAGAATTTTATTTGTATGAGATTAAGAATTGACCGAATACTCAGCATATGACTTCTATGAGAGCAAAGTTTCATAATATGTAGTGCATTCTCACTGGAGCTTTTGCTGTTTTGTTTGGTTGTTTGTTTTTTAACTTAAAAGAAATAACTACAAGTAATATATCATCCTGTCAGGTGATTCGTGTACTGTGTTAGAAAGAAAAGGTAACAAATTACTGTGTTTATTTCCAGTTCCTGAATGTAGATGAATTTAAGTTTGTTATAGGGGGAAATATTTTCTGTCTCATTGCAAGTGTTCTATTATGGCTTTCAGTTAGCAACACGTGCTCACCTTACTCTTAAGTATTATATATTTTTCAAGATATCTTAGGAATAGTTATGGTTTTATTTGTTTGTTTGGACATAGAGGTTTTACTCTGTGGCCCAGGCTGGAGTGCAGTGGCACGATCATGGCTCACTGCAGTTTCAACCTCCTGGGCTCAAGTAATCCTCCTGCCTCAGGCTCCGGAGTAGCTGGGACTACAGGCATGCGCCACCATGGCTGAGTTTTGTATCTTTTTTAGAGATGGGATTTCACCATGTTGCCCAGGCTGGTCTCAAACTTCTGACCTCAAGCAATCCTCCCACCTCAGCCTCCCAAAGTGCTAGGATTACAGGTGTGAGCCACCACATCTAGCCAGGAATATTTATGTTCTACCTGCTGTAAGAAAAGCCTACCCAAAAGTCAATTCTGTATGTCAATTAATTTTTTTGTTGATGGAGAGGGAGTAGTTTCAAGGAAAAGTGAATTCAGCAGATTCTTTACTGACACTGGGAATCTAAATGGGACTGCTGAATAGCTTTCCATTTTTTTGTTTTGGTTGTGTGATTGAATATGTTTTATACCAAAATATAGTTTATTGTTCCATGAATATATTTAATAATTGCAATATCTTATAATCTCACTCTAGATTGAATTTTCATACTGTAGATTGAACTTTCATACTGTACTATACAGAGTAGAAGTGAGTTTTCATTTTTAACTACATGAAATCTCAGTTCTAAGGTCAATAAATTTTTCTTCTGTTTCCCACAAGTAAGATCCCATTATATAAACCATCTCAGAAGATGTCCACATTAGAGAATAATGTTTACAAGTAGTTACCAAAATGAGAAACTGCCAGGCATTATTTACTTACATGACACGAATGTTCACTCTCTTGAATTTTCCTATAATATTCATAATAATTACATTAGATTCAGAAATTCAGGAATATTTTAACATACATATGTACTAAAAAATACCTTAGTTATCAGAAGGGAGTGTTTCATTTTGTTCTTTTAACAAATGGTTGCTTTTATTCTTTTGAGAATATTTGTTTCCTAGGTGAATGAGAGCTAATCTTTTATGCATGAAGGGCCTAAAGTGCTCTGATTTATATTAATAAATATATTGACAATTTAGGAAACATAGAATCCTTTAGACCTTTCCTATAGAGAAGAAGAGTAGTCTTTGCAAATTTGCTTTACATTGGTGAAAAAAGTCATCATTTCGAAGCCACTCATTTCATCGGAATTGGGAAGGCCACCATCTTATAGCTGGGCTTGTGAACCTTTGACTTTTCCCAGTATATATTGGACTATTTTGATCACTGCTATATGCTTCTAGTTCCTCAATCAGTATCTGCCACAGAGGAGGCCCTCTAAATTTTTTGTGGAATTACTTAATGAAATGAATGAGTGATTATTCGCCTTCACAGGATTGTGTGAGACCATATAAGGTGTGTAGAGCGGTTTGACCTCCCACCATTGAAATGCTCCTTACCATTAGCATCTAAAGTGATTCACTTGAGAAATGTGTGTGCTCTCGTGACAGTCTGCTTGTTCCAGCCTTGCTGGAATCTAGATCCACGAGAATCCTGTGTTCATTTTTCTCTAAAGAATAATTACGACCATCTAAGGTAATAGCTAAAGAATCGAGACCTGTAAGAACTCTTAGCCAGGTACAGTGGCCTGTGCCTGTAGTCCCAGCTACTCAGGAGGCTAAGGTGGGAGGATTGCTTGAACCCAGGAGTTTGAGGCTGCAGTGCCCTATGATTGTGTCTGTGAATAGCCACTGCATTACAGCCTGGGCAACATAGGGAGACCTTGCCTCTGGAAAAACAAACAACTCTTGGTAGTCTCCTAATAACCTATTCAAAGAGTTCAGAATTTGGCGGGTGGGTGGGGGGAGGGGGGTCCATTTATCTCTGTTCCTCTTCATATCTTTGCCAGAGAAGATAATTTTAAAAAAGAAAATATTGTTGTCATTTGCTTTTCTACGAAAGAAGCACATTTAGATAGTGAAGGAAAAGTGAAAAATGTTCTTTATGCCGTTTACATTGTCTCATTTAATTATCCCAGTAGCACTGCAAGGTTGGAATAGTGACTAGCCTATTTTATAGATAAGGAAACCAGAGCTCTTAAATATTGCGTTGTTTGTACTCTAGAATATACACTTAAGGGCCGGGTACATTGGCTCACGCCTATAATCCAAGCACTTTGGGAGGCTGAGGCGGGCGGATCACCTGAGGTCAGGAGTTTAAGACCAGTCTGGCCAACATGGCGAAACCCCATCTTTATTAAAAATAAAAAAGTTAGCTGGGTATGTTGGTGCACACCTGTAGTCCTAGCTACTCGGGAGGCTGAGGCACGAGAATCGCTTGAACCCAGGAGGCAGAGGTTGCAGTGAGCCAAGACGGCACCACTGCGCTCCAGCCTGGGCAATAAAATGAGACTGTCTCAAAAAGAATATAGACTCCAAGAGGGTTGCAGTTTCACTGGTTCTGCCTGGTTCACCCTTGTGTCTTCAGTATAAACCATGGTGCCCTGGCACGTGGATATACTGGTTGGTTTTACTTTTGCCTAAGATAACATCGCTAGTTAATGGAATCTACTGAGATTTGCATGTAGTTTTTATGCTTTCCACAGCCTATGAGCTCTTTTCACTGCAGTACTTTTAAGTTTTCTAAGACCGGGGTCCCCAAGCCCTGGGCCATGGATGGTACCTGTCTGTGGCATGTTAGGAACCAGGCCACACAGCAGGAGGTGAGTGGCAGGCAAACGAGCATTACCACCTGAGCTCTGCCTCCTGTCAGATCAGCAGTGGCATTAGACTCTCATAGGAGCACGAACCCTATTGTGAACTGCGCATGTGAAGGATCTAGGTTGCGTACTCCTTATAAGAATCTAATGCCTGATAATCTGAGGTGGAACAATTTCATCCCAAAGCCCTGCCACCGCATCACATCCATGGGACAAATTGTCTTCCACAAAACCTGTCCTTGGTGCCAAAAAGGTTGGGGACCACTGTTGTGAGATCATTTCGAGTTACACCTCTCTGAAAAAGTGGACATATTCCAGTGGTGTTTACCTGGCAGCTGTTGTAATGCTATGATGTAGGTCTTTTCTCTATACAGAACATGCTGATGCTGATGACTGTATTCTTTGGCAGCTCATAGTATGAGCATATAATAAATCTTATGTATGCACTTTTTACCCTCACTTTTCAAATTGTTATATTTAGTCAGTGAAAGCAACTAGAAAAAAGTAAAACTGATACCAGCTGTTATACATATTGCCATATCCCAGCATGATTTGCTCCTGTAAGCCTGGTGGTCACATACAGCAGTCTGCCTTTCCTGCTCTCCTACTCATCTTATAAAAAGACTCTACCAGATTAGCCCTCTTTTCTTTTATTCTGATTCCTGCTATTTTGAAGTTGTGGGAACCAGAGAAGGAGTTCATATTTCTCTACCATTCTATGGCACCTTTGCCCTAGTAGGATGGAGTAGTACTGAGCTGACATGTCAGTGGTATGCTGGTGATAGCTTCTATCACATGCGAGAACTGACAGTTAAATTTTCAGACATTCTATGAGCGGTTGTTAAACATAGTCATTGTTAAATGTTAAAATATACAAGCTTACAAGTTAAATTATATTTAATAACTGATAATATATACTCATCACTTCCTGTTATTTCAAGTGTTGCTATATATCTATGCTTTTAAAGTTTCTATCATGTCTGTGTGATGGAAATACTGTGCTGCTGTGTATCTTTTTCTTTTACTTTTTTTTTTTTTTTGAGATGGAGTCTCTGCCACTCAGGCTGGAGTGCAGTGGCGCGATCTCGGCTCACTGCAACCTCCGCTTCCCGGGTTCAAGTGATTCTCCTGTCTCAGCCTCCCGAGTAGCTGGGACTACAGGCGGCGCCACCACTCCCGGCTAATTTTTGTTATTTTTGCTAGAGACGGGGTTTCACCATGTTGGCCAGGCTGATCTTGAACTCCTGACCTCAGATGATCTGCCTGCCTCGGCCTCCCAAAGTGCTGGGATTACAGGCGCGAGCCACTGTGCCCAGCTTGGCTCACTGTTGTAAGAGCTAAGCTAGATTGCTCAAGTGTTTTTCCCTCTCCTACCTTGACATAAAAGTTTTGTCTGTGTCAGACATTCGTATTTTCAGCCACACCCCAGAGTGCATCACTGATGTTTGAGGTTCTTCACCAGCAAGCCCACGTCAGCACTCGGTCATGTCTGTCCAAAAGGTGCTTTGAACCCTTGGAGGATGTGGAATGCCATGTCGACCTCAGTGCCACCAGGGGCATACTCGAGCCCACCAAAGGAGCAAGTGAAGGGGTTGCCTGAGCGGCGCTCCGGAATGTGCTGCAGCCTTCTGCAGAATGATCTTTGCTGAGTGAGGCCTGCCTGTAGGAGCTAACTGGTATGTTTGGTAGTGGAGGCATCGGACAGTGTAGTCAGTAACAAGATACTAAGATAAATGCAGGGGTTAAATGCTTCCTAGAGTGATGTTTTTTAAGCTGGCTAGTTTTGTTTATTGCAGGAATTAGGTAACTTTGTTGGAGAGCAACCTTGAAGAGCAGTGGAGATGAGTCAGACTTCCTGGCTACTTAGCCAGTATCAAGTAATTAAAAACCACTCCATGGATGGGGCCACGCCGGCAGAGAAACCTTCTTACAGGGAATGACTTTATGATACCCACACTTTTCAAAGAGTGGGCTGCATTGAGCTGGTCTCATTGGGAAGCATGTTACCTACGAGTGAGTGAGAAAAGCTGCACAGGTGCCTAGCAGTTGCTCTGCTCATTTCACTTCCACTGGATGAGTTACTTTGTTCCCCATTCCAAAAGCTGACTGTTCCTATTCCCATTTAAACGGCACTTTATAAAATTCTCATGTGTCTTTACATTTTATGCTTGCCACAAAGAAGGAAATTCATTGCTTGATTAAACTTAAAATAGGATTTTTTAAACTAAGGGAACCTAAAAGCCACTCTTGACTCCAACATATCAATTTAAGCCACTGCAGCTGCGGTTTCTGTCCCGTCCTCTGCTGTTTTACACAGAACTGGCTTCTAGTGGAGCTCCTAACATTCCAATCTATTTTTTTTGTTTGTTTAAATTTCGTTATCTATGTTATTTAAAAGGTATATTAAAAATATAAGCAAAGTTGTTTTCTTCCTCCCCTCTAGCTTTTATTGAAAATATAAATGTAAGCCCAGAGGGGAAAATTATTTCCTAATTCTGTAAAGATTCCTGCAACATTTTCCTTCCAAGGAACTGGCAGTATCTCCTCTGTTACTCTCAGTTGAATATAGAATATTTGGGATTGTGGACAGGTCATATGTTTGTTTCTCTCCTTCCCCCGTGTTCCGCTTTGCCCAAGTCAACAAGCCATGGTTGCCAGGAGGCTCTTCTTGGGCCAAAGCAGATACCAGGACTTCACCTTGCTGTGACAGTGGTTGGGGACCAGGAAGATGAGCAAGAATGAATTTGTAAGCAACTGAATTTGCAAGCAATGTATTGATTGTAAATGAATTATTTCGTACATCCCTGTAGTTGTCCCCAGTCTCCATTCCAATAGGATCCCTGGAGCTGATTGGGAGAGAAGAAAAAGAGATACCTGATTGGTACCCCTCCTAGCTGTTCCAGTAGCCAGGTGGGCTTGGCAGAGACTATGAAAGAGGCAAGCTACAAGTGGATTGAGACTGTGGGGAATCTTACAAAGAAATAGGGTTGTATATTGTTTCGACTCCTTTTGCGTGGTTGTCTTCTCCAAGCTGCCTAGATAAGTCAGCAGAAGGGCTCAGATGAAACATGTTTTGTAAATGTAACTTTCAGGTAATGAAACAGTACCTTCCCATTATTGAGCTCTTTTTTTAAATAGCTAGTTTTGAGTTGAAACCAAGACAATAGATATTCATTATGCAAACCTTTGAGCCACCTTTATGGTATTACTGTCTTAGTATTGCTCTAATGTTAAATGTCTTCTCTGTTTACTGTAAGATAAAACCTTTGTGTTCAGTCAGAAAATAAAGGGACTCCTTGGAGGACTTTGCCAGGGGCTGCATGAAGATATGTGGCTGAGACCTATATACAAAGGCCTTCTGTGCAGGGTCTATGTGGCTCTACAAAAGTGGTAAGCTGAGCTGAGAGGAGAAGCCTACAGAAATGGAAAGTGGAGGTTCCTGTGTCCATTATTTCAAACTGAAGTTGCTCCTTTATTTAGAAAACAAAGCAACATGCCAGACAAGTACATAAACATTTCATGTAATTATATTAAGATAGGCTTGGAAAGTGCTGATGGAGACTTTAAAAACACCTGGTTCAAAAGCATGTATTTATCTTCTCTGAAATTAACTGGTGTTTTATGTCATTTACAGTCTAGTGTGCACACTTCTTATTTAGCAAAAAATACCACTTCATTTTCATTTTTTCCTTGTTGTAGATGTGGCACATATTACTACTGGAAACTTCGATGCCCAGTATTTTTTTCTCTATTCTTTTTATTAAAGAATGGGGTATCTTTTTAAAACTCTCTTTGCACACTGGCATGAACAGGGAACACAGTATTGGTGGAGATGGGGTTGGGGGAGGTTTAGAGGGAGGAATTGCATTCTTTTGGCATTCCTGAGAGGAAAACAGCTGTATTAACTTTTTTTTTTTTTTTTTTGGAAAGTGCAGAGGCATCTCCCCTGACTCTCAGAATTCCAGTTCTTTACAGCTGAGCAAAAACAGCATGGCATATTATTTATGCCTGGAGTCAGCATGCATGAATGTTGCTGTTCTGATTATTAGCCAAGAGAAAACAGCTGTATACATTACTAATAAAAGGACTTTGAAATGAAAAAAAAAAAAATCCAATAGTGGGGTTTTCCCCTATAAACAGCAGATGTGTACAGGGTTTTACCCCATGTCTGCCCTGTACTTTAGCACCACTGTCCTGGGAGGTAAATGGAAGCCAGCATGAGAGGTGGAAGTATGGTGAAAGTAGATATGTTTGTAGCAAAATAGGTATGCTGTGGTTGACTAGAGACATTTTAAGGTTTATTATTTTAAGAGAGCAGTTGTGCCTAGCCATCATTCCATTCCTCCTCCTTCGCCTCTCATAAAAAGAAAATATTGTGTACCTGCAAACATATGCTCTGCTATCAGCATTCAGACACCCAAACACCGAAATCATTTAGCAGCTCTTACTGCTGTCAGTAAGCAGATGATGGCGTAAGGGGTTTAGAATTTGATATGTGTTTTCTAAAGCATCTCTCAAAATAGGCATTGTCTATTTCTTGTTTGTTGCTTGTGGGAAATTTTTCGTCAAGTGTACCTGTACCTAACCCATGACTAAAACTTACCTAGATCTTAATTTCTAGATTTAAAAAGAAGAAAAAAGGGATCAAGTAAGGAACAGCGAAGTAAAGAATATCTAAGATTAAAAGTAGGAATAGCTACAATTACCTAGATTTCAATTTCTGGGTTATTTTTAGTGTGACAAAGTAAAGAGTGTCCAAAATTACAAATCTGAGGGATAATTCAAAGATCCTTTTTTGTTGTCATTGTTCCTGGGGGAATATGTTTCCTGGGGGAAGGAGCATATCTGACTGGTCCCAGGGAAGAAATGAAGTAGAACTGGTATTGAAGAGATATCTTTCTATGGGAATCCAGCAAAAATACTGGGTTCCAAGAACTTGCTTGCCTGGGGAACTCCCAGATTCTTTAAAAACCTTACATGTGAAATAGCTTAACATAAATATATAGGTTTAGACATACTGATTGATGTTTCAGTGCCTATTTTTATATGCATTTATATCGCTCAGGTCATCTATTTTCCACTTGTTCTATTAAGTCATGGTTTTGCAAATGGTCACCATTTAAATATAAGGGACCTATTTTGCTTCTTTCATATTCTTCGACATTTCCTCAATGAAAGAATAAGGAAAGTTTAGGAGTGAGTTACTTAGGGTGTATTCTACTCTGAGGATTTCAGTTTTACTATAGCTGTATTTAATCTTATATTAATTGGGCACTTATATTAATTTAGTGCCTGTATAATGTTGGCACTGAAATGGTTCTTTAGTGTGTTGTGAGAAAATTTCAATGAAGTCATTTATAGAAAACTGTTTTTCTCAAGGGAATTTCCCTTTCCCCTTTTCAGAAGTCAGAGGAAAAAAAAACTGGAATTAGAGTATAGAGTTAGAGATAAAGCGAAACGATGGCAGAATATGCTGAGACATTTGCTCAGGGGTTAAAAGACAGGGAGTTTATAGAACTCCCTTTTCTGCTTGTCATAAGGTTATCTGTTCCTTCTTTTGGACATCTCTCTAGAGGTGTTCCCAAGCTTTGTATCACAGATTCTTTTATCGTGGGGGTCCTAAACTTTAACCATTTAAAAATAAAAACCAAGGGTTACCAAACACCTTAATAGAGACTTCTCTATGAAGTTACAAGAAGTAAACAACCATATGGAAGAATTTGATGTGTTCTTTGAAGTCACTGCTTGTAAGAGAAGACAACGTGTAATTTTTGAGTTACTGTATGACTCACGTTGGAAATGTTTAAAGCCTTCTGTAGGCATGGTGTGGTGGCTCACACCTGTAATACCAGCACTTTGGGAGGCCGAGGCGGGAGGATCACTTGCACTTAGGAGTTTGAGACCAGCCTGGGCAACATAATGAGACTTTGTCTCTACAAAAAAAAAAAAAAATTAAAAAAATTAAAAATAAAAAAAATTAGCCAGGCATAGTGGTGCATACCTGTAGTCCCAGCTACTCAGGAGGCTGAGGTGGGAGGATCTCTTGAGCCTGGGATGTCAAGGCTGTTTGAGTTGTGATTGTGGCACTGTGTTCCTGCTTGGGCAACAGAGCAAGACCCTGTCTGGGGGAGGGGTGGGGCGCGGGGTGGGAAGCCTCCCGATGTCCTAGGAATAGAAGGCTTTTGCTGTTGCAGGAGTACTGAAATGGAATAGTAGGAGCTGCCAGTGAAACTCATTCAGTGTTGATGTAGCATGTTTTAAGAATGTGTTATTTACGGGGAAAACTCTCGAGTTCGTCAGCGAACTGAGAATCCATTCATGGGTGCAGAAAAAGATGCCCATTGCGGGAAATGTGTCTGTACTCTGTGGCACCTCCTTAGGTGGGAGGAATGTGGTGGGGGCTGTGAAGACTGTGCCACTTTCACACCTCTGCATGCAGAATGACTCTCATTCTCTTTTACCAAAGAGCGAATTCATTATTGAACCTGTTAGGATCCAAGGCATTCAAGCATATTTGGGGAAGACTACTCTTGTTCTCTAGAGAGACAGGTCTAAATGATTAAGTTTCCAAATACTGAGCTTATTCCAGAAATAATTTGGTTTCTGCATGCTTTGTTTTCTACAGCATGGTGAGACTGCCACTTAGTTAGACTGAGTCTTGTGAATTGAAGCCTGTTTACAAGAAGTCTGACATACACACTATTATTTTTAGCCTGAACAACATGAAAACCATCTATTTAAAACTCCCAAATCTGAATGACAGTCTCATCTTGCTTAAAATTCCTTCTAGTACTTTTTAAGCCAACAGAAAGGAACATATAAACAATTTGTTAATTGCAACAGCTGGTCCCTGAGTATCTTTATGTTAATGTTTGGAATCTTTGAATTTGAAAGACTTTTAGAAAGAGCATCTGGATTAATGTAGTGCTATTCAGACTTCAGTCTTGAGAAGTGGAATCGACCTCATCAAGACAAACAAACAGGGGCCTTATACAGATTGGGAGGGCGACAGCAAAGGCATGGTGAAATTTCTTTAAAAATCTTAGTAGAGAATGAAGACAAATGGTCTCGGTTTGGTTGTGGGTGAATAGCCTCTTATTTAATTTAGTATGATGTTTATCTAGCTGCTGTGGTAAATGAGGTGAAATCTTTTGTGTATACAGTTAATTCCCAATTATTCATACATGCTTTAGCCAAATTGCTGATTCTCTGTGGACTTTGGAGACCTTCCCCCCGCCACCCCCCCCCCCCCAATACAATTTGCTGTCCATCCGGTCCCATGTCCTAGTTTCCTCTCTGGCCATGCTTTCTCACAGGGGTTCCCAGTTGCTCTCCTCATTTCCATCTTTGCTCCCTGACCAGGCCCCTGCTGCTTTTGCTTTCTCGCTGCTTTTGCTTTCTCTGCTGCATTCCCTGGATTTGTCTGACAGTCCAGGGTTCTTGTCTCCTTGCCGTTGTCTCTCTCAGTCATCTCAGAGTGGTAATAGAGAAGCTAGTTGATGGCCAGGGAAAAGCTACAGAGAGCTAATGTCTGCTGCTCCTTGCTTCTCTTCCTGTCACCTTTGGGCCTTTGTTGAATGAACAAGTGGAGAGTAAGTAGAGAAAGGGGTTTCCTGAAACATTTCCAGCCTGTTCTTTTAAGTGCTTTTTTTCCTCAGGATTTTATAGTCCTATACGTGGTAGGTAGGCGGATGGGCGGGTGGTGGGGGAGGTATTACAGCAAAATGCTTACATATTCTTTTCACCTCTTGTTTTCTTTTTTGTTCTCAACTGGGACCTACTATTCTCCTCCCCATTGCTGAAAGGCAAATTCTTAGAAAGGGGCCATTTAGAGTATGTGTAGCTGAAGAACCTCAAATAGTTCTTCATTTAGCAAATATTTAATTTCTTGAGTTCTTTTTATGTTTTGAATATTCTTAGAGATACGAAAATGAATTTGATGTAGATTCTGCCCTTAAAGGGGTTTAAGTAAAATCTAGAAGCAGAATTTACACAGACAACCACACAGAAAACCCTAAATCTAAAGCCGATATGTAAACACATGATTACCATAGTAAGTGAGAACCTTGTACCGCGTTGGAGAAGTGTGAAGGGTCTCCCCAGAAGACATTGTTTTTCCTGGGGAGGGGATCACAGTAGTACAGATGTGAAAAATCTGCCCTAATATTTTTTGTTTGCACTATGTGGATGGAAATGAAAACTTACCTGTAACAAACAGTTTTATCTATAGAATGTTTTATAAGCCTATTTTTGTTCCTTTTCTATTATATGTCTACACAGAATATAAATTTACCCCATCAGGTGAAAGCTCAGCATAGGTGTGCAAGCCCCACTTGGCTAAAATATTGGTTAGAGCAATAAAATCCTGTGTTCCATTCCCAAACCAGTTCCAAGCCAGGTAATGGGTTGAAAAGGCCTTTGATTAGTTGGATTTCCTATAAACCAACTCTGAAGTACGCATGCATTGATTGAATTAATAGAAGAGCCCTTCATTCCCTTGCCAGAGCCTGGTGTTGCTTAATCTTTTAGTAGTTCCACTAAAGCTTTTGGTTTCTAAGCCCAAATGAGATTACAACCAGCAAATTTTAAAGAAGTGGAGCTAAGAGAGACGAGTATAGTAATAACAAGTCTGAAAAACTGCAAGAGGACACAAGAATTCTGAGTGAGCCTGGTAGTTTCTAGTGAGATTTCCATTTAAAGTTTTGATAGTTAACCTTCCATGGACTATCTCAGATCATTCTTTGGATTCATAAAGTATTTTTGTTAGTTTCCTTGCCATAGCCAAATAAAAATAATCTCTGAATTGAGTTAGGAAATTTAGTTCCTGCTACAACTGCAGATTTCATGTACAGGAAGAGGAAGGGGTGGGCAATTACAGAGGATTAGGGAACATCCCTTTAGAGTTCTTCCTGGGATGACAATGGTCGAATGAGATAATGTGAGAGTGCTTTGCAGTTGGAAAGTGCTGTAGGAACCCTGAATTCATCTGAAACTGTAGCTTAGTGTTTAAATGATGTCTGTTATTACTTTTTTGAATAGTCTGGAGTGCTTGTTAAAGAAAAAATTATTCTGTGATATTTGTTGAATGAAGCACAGTGAGGAAGACTTTACTCAGGGCCCTTGTAATAGCTATAGGGACCACTGCAATAGGGTCTTGCAGTGGGGGAGAGAGAATAGGCTCAATTCTGAATACATCATCATGGGCAAGTGGGAATTTATAGCCAAGGAGCAGTGTGGGGATCAGTGGATGGAAAATTACTAAGACAAAACCTAAGGGGTAAGGGGGCTTCTGACTCAATTGCCCTAATAAGATTCTTGGTGAAGACAGGCCAGGGTGTTGAGACATTACCTGGGGAGATGGTGGAGGATGAGGAACTTGATCAGATATTGGAGATGATCAGAAATTGAGGATGGAGGGTTCTGAAACTGACTTAACAGGATTCTTTGCTAAAACCAGATTCTACAAGGAAATACACATATGGGCCTAGCGGAAGATACAGAACCCTAACTGAAGTTTGGCTGACCAAAAAGAATCTTTGTTACTGTTAAGTATTCGGATTCCTGGGCCTAATGCCAGGTCTACTGAATCAAGATCTCTGAAGACAAAGATGTCAGAATCTACATTTTAACAGACTCCTTGGGCACTTCTTTTACCCATTACGTTAGAGCTGCTTAGATAGAAGTTGCAACTTTTTTGGAGTCTGAGTTTGTAGTTGTAAAACTTTGCTTTTTGATAGAAGGTGAGTATGAATGTGGTAGCTCAATCAGAGTGGGCCACATTGTAACTAAGTGAAGGGATTCTCAAACATCTGTCTTGGAGATAGAGATGGAAAGATTCATGTCTTGAAAGCTTATACTGTATTATATTTAATTTCCTTATATGATAAAATTTACCAAATAGCTCTGAGGAAGGAATCATTTTTACCACCATCTTTTTTTTTTTTTTTTTTTTTGCACAGGGGCAAATTGAAGCTTAGAAAGGAACTTTTTCTTTTCTTTTATAAAATTTTACTTTAAGTTCCAGGATACATGTGCAGAACGTGCAGGTTTATTACATAGGTAAATGTGTACTATGGTGGTTTGCTGCACCTTAACCCATCGCCTAGGTATTAAGCCCTGCATGCATTAGTTATTTGTCCTGATGCTCTCCCTCCCCTCACCCCTGTCCCTGACAGGCCCCAGTGTGTGTTGTTCCCCTCCCTGTGTCCTTGTGTTCTCATTGTTCAACTCCCACTTATGAGTGAGAACATGCAGTGTTCGGTTGTCTGTTCCTCTGTTAGTTTGCTGAGGATGATGCTTCCAGCTTCATCCATGTCCCTGCAGAGGACGTGATCTCATTTCTTTTTGTGGCTGCATAGTATTCCATGGTGTCTGTGTACCACATTTAGAAAGGAACTTTCTTAGGACCATACAACTGGTTGTGGAAGGAGCAGAAATTGAACACTGGCCTGTCTGGGTCTGAAGCCCAAGCTCTCAGCCTCCATGCACTCTGAATTGCCTAGTGCTGATGGCCACAGTCATCAGGGAATAGAGGTTAAGGGAGGAGAGGCAGGCAGAGGCTAAAGTGTCACTCCAGCTGTGGGCTAAAGGATGCTGACCTGTGGACATTAGCCCAAACCCCAGCAAACCCATTAGGCATGATACACTACTATGTAAATTTAAGGCCTAGGAGACATTTGTAGCAAGCTGGTTGCTGTCACCGAGAGCTCATATATTGACTTTGTCAAGCAAGAGTGAGAAGAGAAGATCACATGTTTTACTTAACATTGCCTGTAAACTTTTCACAAGACTTTTCAAATCAATACTTATGCTTTTTCTTTCCATATTGTAAGACACTCAGACTGGTAAGTGAAGGGACTTTAAAGCTTGGCATTGGTTTAGGGCTGTAGCTATGGGGGTAGCAGGAAAAGATGGGAGGAGGGAAAAGCGAAAGAGCTGGACACATGTGGACACTCAGCCGGGGCATCCCTGGGACCCCACATTCTTGAGATTTTATTATGTCTTGAGACCAAATATATGTGGAGGGAGTGATGGTAAAGGTGATAAAAGTGCAAGTTATAATAGAATTTCATAGATAGGGAAAATTGAAAGAAGGATAATATAGTTTATGGGTAAAAAGCCTGTGCCACATTCTGAGAGCTTCAGGGTCTTTTTCTTCCACACTACCCCCTTCAGCGCCTCCACATACCCAGGGGGTAAGCTCTAGTATTTTTGATTTTCATATTTCTGCCTTGTGATTAAATATGAATACCATATTGACTAGAAAATTGGTTTGTCTTTAAATTATGGTTTTGAAAAGGTTTACTCTCTTTTGCTATTCCATAGAGGTTAGTAGGCCATAGGGCCCCTTTATCTTATTTATTTATTTATTTGTTCATTTATTTAGGGACAGAGTCTTGCTTTATTGCCCAGGCTGGAGTGCGGTGGTGCAATCTTAGCCCACTGCAAAGTCCGCCTCCCAGGTTCAAGCGATTCTCCTGCCTCAGCCTCCCGAATAGCTGGGATTACAGGCACGCGCCACCATGCCTGGCTAATGTTTGTATTTTTAGTAGAGACGGGTTTTCACCATGTTGGCCAGGCTGGTCTCGAACTCCTGACCTCAGGTGATCTGCCCGCCTTGGCCTCCCAAAGTGCTGAGATTACAGGTTTGAGCTGCCGTGCCTGGCCGGGCCTGTTTATAACTATTATGCTCAAGGTAAATGTAGAATGTAGAAATTAAGGTGAATAAAACATTCATATTAAAAGCAAAACATTAATTTTGTATGTTCAGGATATATGGTATGAGCTGGGACACCTGGGCTTTGAGCCACAACTTCACTGTCTACAACACACACAAACTTCCTCCCTCCCCCACTGTATCCCCTCCCCCACCACCTCCGACCTCCACCCCAACTGTAAAAGTTGAAGCTGAGCATGGTGGCTCCCGGCTGTAATTCCAATACTTCGATAAGTTAAGGTGGGAGGACCACTTGAGCCCAGGAGTTTGATGTTAGCCTGGGCAACATGGCAAGACTCCGTCTCTACAAAAAATACAAAAAGTTAGCTGGGCATGGTGGCGACTGCCTGTAGACTGAGCTACTTGGGATGCTGAGGTAGGAGGATCATTTGAGCCCAGATGACATCACTGCACTCCAGCCCAGGCAACAGAGTGAGGCCCTGTCTCCAAAAAAAAAAAAAAAAAAAAAAAAAAAGAGTGTAAACAGGTAATTTTACTGGGCCTTAGTTTCGTTTCTTCATCTCTCTGATGAGGGGTGTGGCTGAATGACCTCTTTGGGGTTTTTACATTTCACAGTTGTCAATCATAATTTTCTGTGACCCTGACCAAGCCTCACTCTGACCTAATGACTCATACAAACATTTCTCTTCTTCTCTTCATGTTTGCGTATTTTGATTGCACATGTACCTTGGACTTAGTGGGGTCACTGGCAAAGCAAGTGTATTTTCTGAAATACACCAGAGAAGTGGGTGTGCACAGTGTTTTCCCTTGGGTCGAGCCATGCTTCTGCTGTCCTTCCAGCTGGAATCTGTCAGATGTGGACTGTGGATCTCCTGAGTGCTTAGTAAAAATGCAGAATCCTGGGCCCCTTGCAGACCTGTTGAGGGGGAGTCTCTGGAAGTAAGGCTCTGGGCTCTGCATTTTAATAAGCCCCTAAGTGATCCCCAGGCTCACTACTGTTTGAGAACATGAATGATTCTCCTCTAAGTATGCACTGTGGTCTTTAGATAGAACCCATGGTTCCCTCAAGGCAGGGGTCATGCTGTGTGTGTGTTTATAAATGAAACTTCTCAGGATAAATTGTGATCATCTAGTTTATTCACTCATGAAACAAATACTTGCATCCTTCTTTTATACAAAGTCCTGTGTTAGTTGTGGGAATGGAGAGAAGAGAATGTATCTAAGGAGGCAGAGCAGACAGATTTTGGCAACTGATTAGATATGAGGGATGTGGGAGAGGTCAAAGTTAGCTAGCGGGTTTGATCCGGAGTGTGGAACTCTAGTTGTGCCAGTACAGAAATGGGCAGACAGTCATTGGAACAGTTTTGAGAAGAAAGATGCCCATATAGGAAAGAGCCCATAGAATGGTTATAAAATATGCCTGGATTTGTGGAACCAGTTCTAAAGCTGGCATTACTTTCAGATTCTTAGTATCTTAGAGGTGGGTGTGATCTTGTAGATCCTGTTTCAGTCTCCTCAGAAGCGGGAAAAATTGGTATCATTTGGAGGCTATTGTTTAGGTTGGGGCAAAAAAATATAATGGGGGGAGACATTATATATAAAGGTGATATTTACTTCTTAGACTTGAGAGAAGCTGGCTTTCTTAATAATCTCTAACTGATTTTGAACCTCTATTAGAATAAGCCCTGGAAATAATATTGGAAATGATATAGGCATTCTAAGTAGATATATTCTAAGATGACAGCCTGGTGTGGTGGCTCATGCCTGTAATCCCTGTACTTTGGGAGGCCGAGGCAGGTGGATGGATCTCTTGAGCCCAGCAGTTCGAGACCAGCCTGGATACCACGATGAAACCCTGTCTCTACCAAAAATACAAAAATTGGCTGGGTGTGGTGGCGTGTGGTCCCAGCTACTCAGGAGGCTGAGGTGGGAGGATCACTGGAACCTGGGAAGTCAAGGGTGCAGTGAGCTATGATTACACCACTGTACTCCAGAGCTGGGTGCCAGAGTGAGACTCTGTCTCCAAAAAAAAAAAAAAAAAAACAAAAAAAAACACCTTTAGAATTTACTGTCTTGTGGTCAAGTAGAATGTTGGCCCGTCTTCTTCAAAGACAGCCTTTCTCTCCTGATTTCCCTTAAACTAAGGAGGAGGGAAGTAATTAAGATTTTCAGTGGGAAGCCAGGCGTGGTGGCTCATGCCTGTAATCCCGGCACTTTGGGAAGCCTAGGTGGGCATATCACGAGGTCACAAGATTGAGACCTGCCTGACCAACATGGTGAAACCCCATCTCTACTAAAAATACAAAAATTAGCTAGGTGTGGTGGCACACACCTGTAGTGCCAGCTACTTGGGAGGCTGAGGCTGGAGAATTGCTTGAACCCAGGAAGCAGAGGTTGCAGTGAGCCGAGATCACGCCACTGCACTCCAGCCTGGTGACAGAGCAAGACTCCATCTCAAAAAAAAAAAAAAAAAAAAAAAAGATTTTCAGTGGGAGCACAGACTGCTGCTCACTCACTGAGTGGATTTCATTATGTAGTCTCAGTGTTTCCCAGACTGCTTGACAAATGAAGGATGTACGTTATTGCTTTTTCCTTACTTTGGCCTGAGAATGATGCAAAGCAGGCCTGTTGCATTACCAAGCATCTTGGGATGCTGCACTGAGTAATAGGCTTTTAGTATGTGTTACCTTGTCAACAGCAGTGACTGCTATGCCCAGGACATCAGCATTGAGTTGTTTTTGCACTTGTGGGGGTGACTTCCTATTGTCCTACCAGAATCAGCAAGGTAAGTTGGGAGAAATCCTTTGTCAGCAGGATGAGAAGCAGCAAGTGAAGGCTGGGCTCAGTGGAGGAGAACAATTCTAGGAGCTGGCGTGGTCACAGGAAGGATAGAGAACACGGAGGTCAGGAGGAAGCATGAGTCAGGCTGGTGGCTGTCCGGGGTCTTCTCACATTAGCAGCTGGAGAGCCAGGGCTGAAGGTTGAGTCGTAAGTGGCCAGCCTTGTGAATGTGGTATGCTAGACACCAACAGAACTTCCTGGAGCTGGGAGTTTCCTGGGGTCTTCCTGATGTGTAAGAACTGATGATCAGGACCTTACAGGTTATGTGTCTATTTTGGTTGTCCGCTCTGACAGGGCAGTGGTGTTGTGGTAGATACACTTTTGCTGGAGGCATTTGCTAGGTGAGTGGGCAAGATGTGATTTGTATTGGGTGTAATACTCAATCCAGCAGTGCTTCTCTGCTGCAGTCAAGTCCAGACTGCAAGAACCTGTTAAACGCAGGGAATTCCAACATAGAATCTTAAGAAGTTTCTCTACTTTGAATGTATCCTCCATGTTTTTCGTGTCGACAGAAGTAAAAGTGCAGTGATACATGAGTAAATTTTCAGCTCTCTTATCATAGGATTTGTTTAATTTGGTACCAGGATGTAATGAACTTGAGGTGTGTGAATGAGAAATGGAGATGAAGTGTTTTATTAGTTTAGAAAAGGGAGTAAAAGGAACTCTGAGTGTAGGCACGAAGCTTTCAGCTCTGAAACTTCACCTTTTTGCCACACTAGCAGCAGAGAAATTACGGAAAGCTGATTGTGTTGTCTATTTGGCAAGTCAAAGCAAGATACAGCAAGCTAAAAGATGAGTCTTCTAGATTGCTTTCACCTTCTGTGACATGAAATTTCTAAAAATAAGAAATAAGGAGCCCCTGGGCAGTTGCTCTTTAGAATTTGTGTGGACAGATCCAGGTCATCCTTGTTCTTCTTTGTGTTTTTTATGAAGTGAGACTTTCTGATTAGTGAGCCAGAAATTTAATCTGACAGCTTTTAAGTTTGATGATTTAAAAACACAATTGGTTATAAAAATTTTAAATTTATAATTTCCAGTAAAGTAGGAAATGAAAATTACCCTTTTGCTCCCAATTTCACTTCCAGAGGTTTATATTTACCATGTACTAAAACCTATCATTTCTCATCTACTTTATAAATGTATGAAAAACTCTGATTTTATACCTCTTTTGCTGTGTGTCATTAACATGATTTGCTTAACTTAATTTTATGTCCAGTATGGCTCTTGAGAGAGGGAACTGTGTCAGAATGTGTGTATCATTTTAACCCATTTCTGGTTGTTGTTGGAAACACAGTTAAGTTGCTTACTGGTCTTACTGCTGGTTTGCTTTATAAGAAAATTCAATCCGTTTTGTCTTCAGGTAACACTACATTTCTTTCAGTCTTCTGAGACATTTCATGGTTTCACTTATCCAGGTGTTGCTAATCTTACATAGCAGTTTATATGCCTTGTCTATTCTTCTTAACTAAGATAACCTGTTGAAGTATTATTAAATTCAACTATATTATAAAATTATTAAACTGTAGGCGGGATGTGTTTTCTTCCTTTCTCACGTAGCTTCCCTTCCACTCTGGAAATGGAAGGTTTGACATCCCATCATTTGATAGGTCTGATGACTTTCCAGTATTTTAAGCAGTAATATTGAGACTAGGGCTTCTTGTTCCTCCTATCCTTAAGTTTTGGCATAATGATTTGCATTAATATTACTAGCTAACTTTTATTCATTTTTACTCTATGCCAGGTACATGGCTAGATGTGTAACCTCCTCCTGATCCCCAGAATTACTTTAGGAGGTGTAGGTGCTGTTATTAAAAATACAAAGGAAGAAATGGAGGCATAAGTGAATAAAGATAAGTAATTTATAAAGTAAATACAAGTAAAAAATGAATATTAAGTAATTTGCCTGCAGCTATTAAGAGCTATGAAGTGATGGGGTGGAAATTTGTCCAGAGGCCCCCATTCCCCTCAAAGCCCTTTTAATCTCTGCGCTCTGCTGCTTCTTGTACCCTTTTACTCTTGTTCTTTTACTCAGCTCATATTAATGAGCACTCACCATGCCAGGCTTGGTTCTGGGTGCTGAGAAGACAGCAGCAAACAGAACTGACAATGAAGAAAGAGTTAAACAAATAAACATATACCAGAGGAGGTGATGGCGATCAAGAAAATACTAGGTAAGAGAGAGGGAGGGTATGCTTTCTGGCAAAACTTATAAAAATATGAGAAACTATTCTAGTCATTGGTTCTATTTAAACAGCCTAGGACAGTATGAAGAAAAGGCAAGAGTTGAGCGGAAAAAATAAATCAGTCCTAAAAACAGACAAAAACCCCCTCAAATCCAGGACCTATCAAGTTTCATATCTTCATTGAAATGGTGACAAATGGTGTATCAGTGTGAAAACCAGAAAGGCTAATTGTTTGTATACCTCACAGGGCAGTGTGTGATCATCCAGGAGGGACATGTGAAGGAGGTTAAGATTTAAATGTTGGAAACACCAACATTCTAATTATTCCTGAGTTTCAACACCAGTCATTCAAGTAACAGTTGTAAGGAATTTTCTTTTGGAATTTTCCTTTTCCTTTAGGTTCTCCCCTTTCTTTCAGGATGGTGGGGAGCAAGAATCCCTAGGAATATTGTAAAAATATTTCACCAAGAACTGCTAATTAGCAGAGGTCTTTTCTTGTATCCCTTTTGATAATTCCCACAAATGAACTTAAGATTCAGAAGCAAAGGAAAAGAAAAAAAGACTCAAAATACAAACATTAAGAAGGAATATTCTGACCACTTTGGAAGTCACCGTCTTAAGTGCTGAAAAATTATCCATTAAAAATATTTTTTCAAGAGGGTAGATGAAAGCCATTGCTATTTGCCATTTAGAAATTGTGTTTTCCTCAGAGACTGTTGTCATGAACATTGGTCTATTAATAACACTGAACAATCTCCACTCCATCATCCATTTGGTTTGGTTCTGGCAAGTTTATAACTCCTTTCACATGACATATAGATTTTTCATTTATAAAAAGTTGGAAAAAGGATTTCCCATTTCTTCCAGCTAGGTAGACTTAAAAAACATCGTGACCCCTTTCTGGCCCCTCATCTTCTTCCCACTGTACCCATTTATTGGCCTGATAGCCTGAAGATTGATTAGAGAGAAGCGATCCAGATAGACTTGGAAAACACCTAATCCTGTGCATGGCCGCACCTCTGAAAAATTGCATGCACTATAAACCAGAGCATTTCAGCTTTTTAAAACATGCATTGTTACACTGGGGAAGATAGAGACATTGAGTTCTTCTACAGAATGTATCTACCGTATTTTCAAGTTTTTAAGATTGAGATAGTTCTTTTGCAGAGGTCTATTTCCTATTGAGATTTGAAAAGGAATGTTTTGATTTTAAAAACTTAAAAGCAAAACTTAATTCCTTGCTGTTTGCAATATGTCATGATACCTTGTGTCTTTATTTAGCGTACGTTTATCATAGGAAAATTTACTGTTGCCAGAAAACAGGCCAATGGAATCTGTGAATTTTGTATTGGTGATTTAGTAGATTACAAAGAAAAATAATTTGACGTATTTGCGGTGCTTTTTAATTATGAGGAAATTATACTGCATTACTTTAATGTAGACTTTTCACTTTCTTTGCCACTCTCAAATTCAGTCCAGTAAGTGTATTGAATTTTCACCAAATGGCTAGCTCTGGGAGCTGTCACTGATTTAGGGGACCACACTTTCTATTTTGCTTGTGGACTAAGATGTAGAAACCAGATAATAAAAAGGAGCGTTAATATAATTGGCAAAAAGATGGTTATAGATCTTACAAGTGTCTCAAGTGAGAGAGGTTAGAAGAGGAAGAGAGAAGTGAAAGCTGAAGTAAGGATTTCAAAAGTTGGGAAGCTTCACGAATTTTTATGAATTAAGCATTCTTAGAAATCCTTACATCACTCCCTTCTTCCATCAGTAGAACAAAAGCCTTTTTCTCTTATGATGCTCTGCCTACTATAGTTTCTTTACTATATGGAAACTGGAAAAATAAGTAATTGGGTTTATCACTGTTGATGTCTAAATAAAATTTGGGATTACAAGTGCTTTTCTCCTCACCCTCATAACATTTTATAAGAAAAGAACTCCCAATTTGGGGTTTGAGCATGTTCCTCTAAAAGCATCGGAAATACTTGCTTTATTAGTTCAGTTAAAAATTTAAAGATTTATGGTAGGACACATCCATAGGTGACTTCATAGAAGACCACCATGGGACTCAGTGAGTACCCCTCCAGTCTGGGAAAAGCTTGACAAACTACATAAACCTGAGCTGAGGGAGAAAATACACATGCCATTTCCCCAAATTCCTGGTTTCTAGTGTCTTGGCACTATGGTATTTTTACTCTTATTTTATAAATCCTATACCAGCATTTTAAAAAATGAAGAAAATGGCAAGAAAATCATGGAAAATTTGAGTCCTCATTTAGTACCTCCCTATCTTGATTTTTTGTCTTTTAACAGATGAAGTGGTGAAGAGAGCCTGCGATTGAAGATTTTTTCATCTCAGCTTTTTCCCCCTTACCTTGTTCTCTCTCATGTTTCATGATCTGTGTCATAGATATTTCTTCATTACGAGCACTTCGCGGTGTGGCTTTTCAATGTCTGAAGTGGATTAAGTGGCCCACAGTCAGTTCTGTGACTTGAGTTTCAAAAGTAAAATTACCATCAACAATGTGATTCAATTTTATTTTCTATACTAGCTAAAAGCAAGGAACTATATTATTAACAATCTTGGCTTTACTGTAGTTTAAGGCAGGTGATGATGATGCTTATTAGTCCACCTGAAAGAGTCCTTCCAGGTTTTTGGAAGCTTTATTCCTGCTTATTACCTTGCCCTTGAGAAGTCCTTCATGGAAAGTGGAAACACTGGGTTGACTTCTTTTCCCCATATCCTAGTTGAAAGGGACAGCTTATATGTATGTTAGACTGTCCAAAAGTGTTTGTAGAACCTCATTTTAAAAAATCAACTGTATTGTACTTTTTAAAAAATGGGATCTTAAACTCTTTATTAAAAATAATAAATGGAAATGTGTTAAGCAAAAACATTACTTGACCTCTTCTTATTCATTGTGTAATAATAACGTATAAAATAATTGCTTTATTTACATCTGTATTGACCATGGCTGAACTTCTTGCCAGTAGGGGTGTCGTGAGTCCTGTTCATCTCTCTGCCCCTTGGTGGGATGCCTAGCACTTGGCCACTTGGTAAATACTGGAGGAATGATTGAATGTGTGAATCCTGGATTAGTTCTCAGGAATATTATAATAGAAACAACAATGATATTTAGTAAAAATTGAAGACATAATTATCCAGTTACTTCTACAACTTTTAAACCAACTTCAATGAAGTGTAGCCCAAAAACATATTGCAGATGTGTTTGGGTAACTTCTTTCTTTGTATTGTTTTTTCCCCCTCTTTTGGAGACTGGATTCTCACTTTGTTGCGCAGGCTAGAGTGTGGTGGTGCCATCTCAGCTTAGGTGTTCCTCCCATCTCATTGTCCTGAATAGCTGGTGTATGCCACTACACTCAGCTGATTTTTGTAATTTTGTAGAGAGCGGATTTCGCCATGTTGCCTAGTCTCGTCTCAAATGGCTGGGCTCAAGCAGTTTGCCCACCTTGGCCCCCCAAAGTCCTGGGATTACAGATATAAGCCGCGGCCCAGCCTGTATTATTATTAATTATAATTCAACCCTAGGAATATACATTGAGTTATAATTTAAATTCCATTTTTATATTTAAGCAGTTTTTTTTTTTTTTTTGAGACGGAGTTCTGTTCTTGTTGCCCAGGCTGGAGTGCAATGGCGCGATCTCGGCTCACTGCAACCTCCGCCTCCCAGGTTCAAGCGATTCTCCTGCCTCAGCCTCCCTAGTAGCTGGGATTACAGGCATGTGCCACCACGCCCGGCTAATTTTGTATTTTTAGTAGAGACAGGGTTTCTCCATGTTGGTCAGGCTGGTCTCAAACTCCCGACCTCAGGTGATCCACCTGCCTCGGCCTCCCAAAGTGCTGGGATTACAGGCATAAGCCACTGTGCCTGGCCTTTAAGCAAAGTTTTATAGGCATTACTGTTTCCCCTTGCTATGTTTAGAGTGGTGGAACTGAAGTTTCCCCTTGCTATGTTTAGAGTGGTGGAACTGAAGTTGGTTTTTTGTTTCTTTGTTTGTTTGTTTGAGATGGAGTCTTGCTCTGTCGCCAGGCTGGAGTGTAGCGACGCGATCTTGGCTCACTGCAACCTCTGACTTCTGGGTTCAAGCAATTCTCCTGCCTCAGCCTCCAGAGTAGCTGGGACTTCAGGCGGGTGCCACCACGCCCGGCTAATTTTTTGTATTTTTGGTAGAGATGGGGTTTCACCATGTTGGCCAGGAAGGTCTTGGTTTCTTGACCTCGTGATCCGCCCGCCTCAGCCTCCCAAAGTGCTGGGAATACAGGTGTGAGCCACGGCTCCCGGCCCGAAACTGAAGTTGTTTAATTGAGAAGTTTCAGGGCTGTGAAATGTACACTGAGCACACACCCTGCACATTTCATCTTCCCGCCTTTGTTTTGGATTCTATATCTTCAGTGCCCTTAAAGTGTGAAACTCTCAATCAGACCCCGCTTCCTGCACTGCTCCCCAGGTATCTTACATTCCTTGCAACATTTTAGACTGCATGTACTATTTTGTACTCAATTACATAATTTTATTTTGTTCACTATTGTTTTATCCTTGCTTGGGTGTTTTCCTCACTATGGGAAGAAGAACCCTAAGAATGAATCATCTCACTGGGAAAGGAAGCATTTAAAACTTATTTAATGTATTTTTATAATTGGGGAACTGTAAGTATTTCTTTTAGCATTAATGCTTGTTTCCAAGAAATGGTGAACTTACCTAAACTTAGTAAATTTTTGTCATAATAATAGAATATTCACAATTGTTTTTAATTTATAAAAATGTAAGTTGCTTTCTACTAGGGTGTTATTTTAGGGGGGAAGATTTGTAAAAATGTTCAGTCAAAATATTGTCATGTTAATCGTATTTTTCAAGATGTGCTAAAAATGATTTCCCACTTAGAACAAATTAGCTGGAGGCCACCTTATCCCACCTCCAGCCCCCTCTGCAACACCCTTCATAGCTAATTACCTGCTTTTCATTCCAAATTTTCTATGACAAGGTGTTCCTACCTCAACAGGTGATCACCATGGCAACGAGGTAGTCTGTTCTATTTTTGGAGTATGAAAGTAGTGCCTTCTTAAATCTAATAATAAATGAGAGTTCCAGAAAACCAGTGCTTCAAACAAATTTGATTTACTTGAATTTTTTTTTATTTTAAATCACACTTTGGGAGGCTGAGGCAGAAGGATCACTTGAGCCCAGGAGTTTGACACCAGCCTGGGCAACATGGTGACACTCTGTCTATACAAGAAATATAAAAATTAGCCAGGCATGGTGGCACACGCCTTTGGTCCCAGCTGCTCAAAAGGATTGCCTGAGCCTGGGAGGTTGAGGCTGCAGTGAGCTATGATTGTGCCACTGCACAACAGCCTGGGTGACAGAGTGAGACCTTGTCTAAAAAAAAAAAAAAAAAAAAAAAAAAAAAAAAATCATGTCATTCAGTCATGTTTTTATTATTTTTTCAGACTGAGGAGATAGGGAACCAGTTTAATTGTGATCTTTTATTATTTTCAAAAACCAGCAACTACCATTTACTAGTGGCTTATTGTGTCTTGGCAGTATGCTGTTTTTATTCCTATTGTGCAGATGAGGAAACTGATACGTCAAGTCTTGATCAAGTTCACAGAACTAGCAAGAGCAGGAATTGGAATTCTAACCCAGGCGGCCTGCTTTCAGATCCTCCACTCTAATCCATTTCTCTGTCTTGCTGGAGCCTTGCTAGAATGCTTCCTCTCTTGGGAGTTCAGCCGACTGGGAGTGCCTGACCCTTTATAAAGGTGCTTAATATGATGGGCAGCCCTACGCAAATAGGGGTGAATGGAATGAAGGGGGATGAGCATGATGCTATGGGAATGGTAGCAAGTCAGAAACACCTTGGAATTCAGATAGCAGCGTGTCCTGTCACTGATGTTTAAAATTATATAGTTTGAAATATAATGTTTTTAATAAAGTTGGTTGCAGATGACTCAACAGCTATGGGAGTTATCAGAAGGTGATGTAGAAATGCTTTTAGTGTTCT